>NC_000002.12:93087651-93296007 GCF_000001405.40 Homo sapiens | reverse complement strand
TCTGTCTAGAGTTTATATGAAGACAATCCCGTTTCCAACGAAATCCTCAAAGCTATCCAAATATCCTCTTGCAGATATTACAAAAAGAGTGTTTCAAAACTGCTCTATCAAAAGAAAGGTTCAACACTGTTAGTTGAGGGCGCACATCACAAATAAGTTTACTGAGAATGCTGCTGTCTGCTTTTTATATGTAATCCCGTTTCCAACGAAATCCTCAAAGCTAGACAATTATCCACTTGCAGATTCCACAAAAAGAGTGTTTCAAAACTGCTCTATCAAAAGAATGCTTCAACACTGTTAGTTGAAGGCCGCACATCACAAATAAGTTTCTGAGAATGCTTCTGTCTAGTTTTCAGGGGAAGATATTTCCTTTTAAACCATAGGCCTGAAAGCGCTCCAAATGTCCACATCCAGATACTACAAAAAGAGTGTTTGAAACCTGCTCTATGAAAGGGACTGTTCAACACTGTAACTTCAATTGAAACATCCCAATGAAGCTTACTGAGAATGCTTCTGTCTAGAGTTTATATGAAGACAATCCCGTTTCCAACGAAATCCTCAAAGCTATCCAAATATCCTCTTGCAGATTTTACAAAAAGAGTGTTTCAAAACTGCTCTATCAAAAGAAAGCTTCAACACTGTTAGTTGAGGGCGGACATCACAAATAAGATTCTGAGAATTCTTCTGTCTAGTTTGCAGGGGAAGATATTTCCTTTTTCACCATAGGCCTGAGAGCGCTCCAAATGTCCACATCCAGATACTACAAAAATAGTGTTTCAAACCTGCTCTATGAAAGGGAATGTTCAACTCTGTGACTTGAATGCAAACATCACAAAGAAGTTTCTGGGAATGCTGCTGTCTGTTTTTTATATGTAATCCCGTTTCCAACGAAATCCTCAAACCTAGACAAATATCCACCTGCAGATCGAACAAAAAGAGTGTTTCAAAACTGCTCTCTCAAAAAAAAGGTTCAACTCTGTTAGCTGAGTAGATACATCATGAAAAAGTTTCTGACATTGCTTCTATGTAGCTTTTATTGGAAGATACTTCCTTTTTCACCGCAGTCCTGAGAGCACTCCAAATGTCCACTTCCAGATACTACAAAAAGAGTGTTTCAAACCTGCTCTATGAAAGGGACTGTTCAACACTGTGACTTCCACTGAATCATCCCAATGAAGCTTCTGAGAATGCTTCTGTCTAGATTCTATATGAAGACAATCCCGTTTCCAACGAAATCCTCAAAGCTATCCAAATATCCTCTTGCAGATTTTACAAAAAGAGTGTTTCAAAACTGCTCTATCAAAAGAAAAGTTCCACACTGTTAGTTGAGGGCGCACATCACAAATAAGTTTGCTGAGAATGCTGCTGTCTGCTTTTCATATGTAATCCCGTTTCCAACGAAATCCTCAAAGCTAGACAAATATCCACTTGCAGATTCCACAAAAAGAGTGTTTCAAAACTGCTCTATCAAAAGAATGCTTCAACACTGTTAGTTGAGGGCGCACATCACAAATAAGTTTCTGAGAATGCTTCTATCTAGCTTTTATTGGAAGATATTTCCTTTTTCACCGTAGCCCTGAGAGCGCTCCAAATGTCCACTTCCAGATGCTACAAAAAGAGTGTTTCAAACCTGCTCTATGAAAGGGACTGTTCAACACTGTGACTTCAATTGAAACATCCCAATGAAGCTTCTGAGAATGCTACTGTCTAGAGTTTATATGAAGACAATCCCGTTTCCAACGAAATCCTCAAAGCTATCCAAATATCCTCTTGCAGATTTTACAAAAAGAGTGCTTCAAAACTACTCTATCAAAAGAAATGTTTAACACTGTTAGTTGAGGGCGCACATCACAAATAAGTTTCTGAGAATGCTTCTGTCTAGTTCTCAGGGGAAGTATATTTCCTTTTTCACCATAGGCCTGAAAGCGCTCCAAATGTCCACATCCAGATACTACAAAAAGAGTGTTTCAAACCTGCTCTATGAAAGGGAATGTTCAACTCTGTGACTTGAATGCAAACATCACAAAGAAGATTCTGGGAATGCTGCTGTCTGCTTTTTCTATGTAACCCGTTTCCAACGAAATCCTCAAAGCTAGACAAATATCCACTTGCAGATTCCACAAAAAGAGTGTTTCAAAACTGCTCTCTCAAAGGAAGGTTCAACTCTGTTAGCTGAGTAGATACATCATGAAAAAGTTTCTGACATTGCTTCTATCTAGCTTTTATTGGAAGATATTTCCTTTTTCACCGCAGTCCTGAGAGCGCTCCAAATGTCCACTTCCAGATACTACAAAAAGAGTGTTTCAAACCTGCTCTATGAAAGGGACTGTTCAACACTGTGACTTGAATTGAAACATCCCAATGAAGCTTCTGAGAATGCTGCTGTCTGCTTTGTATAATTAATCCCGTTTCCAACGAAATCCTCAAAGCTATCCAAATATCCTCTTGCAGATATTACAAAAAGAGTGTTTCAAAACTGCTCTATCAAAAGAAAGCTTCAACACTGTTAGTTGAGGGCGCACATCACAAATAAGTTTCTGAGAATGCTGCTGTCTGCTTTTTATATGTAATCCCGTTTCCAACGAAATCCTCAAAGCTAGACAAATATCCACTTGCAGATTCCACAAAAAGAGTGTTTGAAAACTGCTCTGTCAAAAGAAAGCTTCAACACTGTTAGTTGAGGGCGCACATCACAAATAAGTTTCTGAGAATGCTTCTGTCTAGTTTTCAGGGGAAGATATTTCCTTTTAAACCATAGGCCTGAAAGCGCTCCAAATGTCCACATCCAGATACTACAAAAAGAGTGTTTCAAACCTGCTCTATGAAAGGGACTGTTCAACACTGTGACTTCAATTGAAACATCCCAATGAAGCTTCTGAGAATGCTTCTGTCTAGAGTTTATATGAAGACAATCCCGTTTCCAACGAAATCCTCAAAGCTATCCAAATATCCTCTTGCAGATTTTACAAAAAGAGTGTTTCAAAACTGCTCTATCAAAAGAAAGCTTCAACACTGTTAGTTGAGGGCGCACATCACAAATAACTTTCTGAGAATGCTTCTGTCTAGTTTTCAGGGGAAGATATTTCCTTTTTCACCATAGGCCTGAAAGCGCTCCAAATGTCCACATCCAGATACTACAAAAAGAGTGTTTCAAACCTGCTCTATGAAAGGGAATGTTCAACTCTGTGACTTGAATGCAAACATCACAAAGAAGTTTCTGGGAATGCTGCTGTCTGCTTTTTATATGTAATCCCGTTTCCAACGAAATCCTCAAAGCTAGACAAATATCCACTTGCGGATTCCACAAAAAGAGTGTTTCAAAACTGCTCTCTCAAAGGAAGGTTCAACTCTGTTAGCTGAGTAGATACATCATGAAAAAGTTTCTGACATTGCTTCTATCTAGCTTTTATTGGAAGATATTTCCTTTTTCACCGTATTCCTGAGAGCGCTCCAAATGTCCACTTCCAGATGCTACAAAAAGAGTGTTTCAAACCTGCTCTATGAAAGGGACTGTTCAACACTTTGACTTCAATTGAAACATCCCAATGAAGCTTCTGAGAATGCTTCTGTCTAGAGTTTATATGAAGACAATCCCGTTTCCAACGAAATCCTCAAAGCTATCCAAATATCCTCTTGCAGATATTACAAAAAGAGTGTTTCAAAACTGCTCTATCAAAAGAAAGGTTCAACACTGTTAGTTGAGGGCGCACATCACAAATAAGTTTACTGAGAATGCTGCTGTCTGCTTTTTATATGTAATCCCGTTTCCAACGAAATCCTCAAAGCTAGACAAATATCCACTTGCAGATTCCACAAAAAGAGTGTTTCAAAACTGCTCTATCAAAAGAAAGCTTCAACACTGTTAGTTGAGGGCGCACATCACAAATAAGTTTCTGAGAATGCTTCTGTCTAGTTTTCAGGGGAAGATATTTCCTTTTTTACCATAGGCCTGAAAGCGCTCCAAATGTCCACATCCAGATACTACAAAAAGAGTGTTTCAAACCTGCTCTATGAAAGGGACTGTTCAACACTGTGACTTCAATTGAAACATCCCAATGAAGCATCTGAGAATGCTTCTGTCTATAGTTTATATGAAGACAATCCCGTTTCCAACGAAATCCTCAAAGCTATCCAAATATCCTCTTGCAGATTTTACAAAAAGAGTGTTTCAAAGCTGTTCTATCAAAAGAAAGCTTCAACACTCTTAGTTGAGTGCGCACATCACAAATAAGATTCTGAGAATGCTTCTGTCTAGTTTTCAGGGGAAGATATTTCCTTTTTCACCATAGGCCTGAAAGCGCTCCAAATGTCCACATCCAGATACTACAAAAAGAGTGTTTCAAACCTGCTCTCTGAAAGGGAATGTTCAACTCTGTGACTTGAATGCAAACATCACAAAGAAGTTTCTGGGAATGCTGCCGTCTGCTTATTATATGTAATCCCGTTTCCAACGAAATCCTCAAAGCTAGACAAATATCCACCTGCAGATTCCACAAAAAGAGTGTTTCAAAACTGCTCTGTCAAAAAAAAGTTTCAACTCTGTTAGCTGAGTAGATACATCATGAAAAAGTTTCTGACATTGCTTCTATCTAGCTTTTATTGGAAGATATTTCCTTTATCACCGTATTCCTGAGATCTCTCCAAATGTCCACTTCCAGATACTACAAAAAGAGTGTTTCAAACCTGCTCTATGAAAGGGACTGTTCAACACTGTGACTTCAATTGAAACATCCCAATGAAGCTTCTGAGAATGCTTCTGTCTAGAGTTTATATGAAGACAATCCCGTTTCCAACGAAATCCTCAAAGCTATCCAAATATCCTCTTGCAGATTTTACAAAAAGAGTGTTTCAAAACTGCTCTATCAAAAGAAAGGTTCAACACTGTTAGTTGAGGGCGCACATCACACATAAGTTTCTGAGAATGCTTATCTGTCTAGTTTTCAGGGGAAGATATTTCCTTTTTCACCATAGGCCTGACAGCGCTCCAAATGTCCACATCCAGATACTACAAAAAGAGTGTTTCAAACCTGCTCTATGAAAGGGAATGTTCAACTCTGTGACTTGAATGCAAATATCACAAAGAAGTTTCTGGGAATGCTTCTGTCTAGTTTTCAGGGGAAGATATTTCCTTTTTCACCATAGGCCTGAAAGCGCTCCAAATGTCCACATCCAGATACTACAAAAAGAGTGTTTCAAACCTGCTCTATGAAAGGGACTGTTCAACACTGTGACTTCAATTGAAACATCCCAATGAAGCTTCTGAGAATGCTTCTGTCTAGAGTTTATATGAAGACAATCCCGTTTCCAACGAAATCCTCAAAGCTATCCTAATATCCTCTTGCAGATTTTACAAAAAGAGTGTTTCAAAACTGCTCTATCAAAAGAAAGCTTCAACACTGTTAGTTGAGGGCGCACATCACATATAAGATTGCTGAGAATGCTTCTGTCTAGTTTGCAGGGGAAGATATTTCCTTTTTCACCTTAGGCCTGAAAGCGCTGCAAATGTCCACATCCAGATACTACAAAAAGAGTGTTTCAAACCTGCTCTATGAAAGGGAATGTTCAACTCTGTGACTTGAATGCAAACCTCACAAAGAAGTTTCTGGGAATGCTGCTGTCTGCTTTTTATATGTAATCCCGTTTCCAACGAAATCCTCAAAGCTAGAAAACATCCACTTGCAGATTCCACAAAAAGAGTGTTTCAAAACTGCTCTCTCAAAGGAAAGGTTCAACTCTGTTAGCTGAGTAGATACATCATGAAAAAGTTTCTGACATTGCTTCTATGTAGCTTTTATTGGAAGATATTTCCTTTTTCACCGCAGTCCTGAGAGCGCTCCAAATGTCCACTTCCAGATACTACAAAAAGAGTGTTTCAAACCTGCTCTATGAAAGGGACTGTTCAACACTGTGACTTCAATTGAAACATCCCAATGAAGCTTCTGAGAATGCTTCTGTCTAGATTCTATATGAAGACAATCCCGTTTCCAACGAAATCCTCAAAGCTATCCAAATATCCTCTTGCAGATTTTACAAAAAGAGTGTTTCAAAACTGCTCTATCAAAAGAAAAGTTCCACACTGTTAGTTGAGGGCGCACATCACAAATAAGTTTGCTGAGAATGCTGCTGTCTGCTTTTTATATGTAATCCCGTTTCCAACGAAATCCTCAAAGCTAGACAAATATCCACTTGCAGATTCCACAAAAAGAGTGTTTCAAAACTGCTCTATCAAAAGAATGCTTCAACACTGTTAGTTGAGGGAGCACATCACAAATAAGTTTCTGAGAATGCTTCTGTCTAGTTTTCAGGGGAAGATATTTCCTTTTTCACCATAGGCCTGAAAGCGCTCCAAATGTCCACATCCAGATACTACAAAAAGAGTGTTTCAAACCTGCTCTATGAAAGGGACTGTTCAACACTGTGACTTCAATTGAAACATCCCAATGAAGCTTCTGAGAATGCTTCTGTCTAGAGTTTATATGAAGACAATCCCGTTTCCAACGAAATCCTCAAAGCTATCCAAATATCCTCTTGCAGATATTACAAAAAGAGTGTTTCAAAACTGCTCTATCAAAAGAAAGCTTCAACACTGTTAGTTGAGGGCGCACATCACAAATAAGTTTCTGAGAATGCTTCTGTCTAGTTTTCAGGGGAAGATATTTCCTTTTTCACCATAGGCCTGAAAGCGCTCCAAATGTCCACATACAGATACTACAAAAAGAGTGTTTCAAACCTGCTCTATGAAAGGGAATGTTCAACTCTGTGACTTGAATGCAAACTTCACAAAGAAGTTTCTGGGAATGCTGCTGTCTGCTTTTTATATGTAATCCCGTTTCCAACGAAATCCTCAAAGCTAGACAAATATCCACTTGCAGATTCCACAAAAAGAGTGTTTCAAAACTGCTCTCTCAAAGGAAAGGTTCAACTCTGTTAGCTGAGTAGATACATCATGAAAAAGTTTCTGACATTGCTTCTATCTAGCTTTTATTGAAAGATATTTCCTTTTTCACCATAGTCCTGAGAGCGCTCCAAATGTCCACTTCCAGATACTACAAAAAGAGTGTTTCAAACCTGTTCTATGAAAGGAACTGTTCAACACTGTGACTTCAATTGAAACATCCCAATGAAGCTTCTGAGAATGCTTCTGTCTAGAGTTTATATGAAGACAATCCCGTTTCCAACGAAATCCTCAAAGCTATCCAAATATCCTCTTGCAGATATTACAAAAAGAGTGTTTCAAAACTGCTCTATCAAAAGAAAGGTTCAACACTGTTAGTTGAGGGCGCACATCACAAATAAGTTTCTGAGAATGCTTCTGTCTAGTTTTCAGGGGAAGATATTTCCTTTTTCACCATAGGCCTGAAAGCGCTCCAAATGTCCACATCCAGATACTACAAAAAGAGTGTTTCAAACTCTGCTCTATGAAAGGGAATGTTCAACTCTGTGACTTGAATGCCAACATCACAAAGAAGTTACTGGGAATGCTGCTGTCTGCTTTTTATATGTAATCCCGTTTCCAACGAAATCCTCAAAGCTAGACAAATATCCACTTGCAGATTCCACAAAAAGAGTGTTTCAAAACTGCTCTCTCAAAGGAAAGGTTCAACTCTGTTAGCTGAGTAGATACATCATGAAAAAGTTTCTGACATTGCTTCTATCTAGCTTTTATTGGAAGATATTTCCTTTATCATCGTAGTCCTGAGAGCGCTCCAAATGTCCATTTCCAGATACTACAAAAAGAGTGTTTCAAACCTGCTCTATGAAAGGGACTGTTCAACACTGTGACTTCAATTGAAACATCCCAATGAAGCTTCTGAGAATGCTGCTGTCTGCTTTGTATAATTAATCCCGTTTCCAACGAAATCCTCAAAGCTATCCAAATATCCTCTTGCAGATATTACAAAAAGAGTGTTTCAAAACTGCTCTATCAAAAGAAAGCTTCAACACTGTTAGTTGAGGGCGCACATCACAAATAAGTTTCTGAGAATGCTGCTGTCTGCTTTTTATATGTAATCCCGTTTCCAACGAAATCCTCAAAGCTAGACAAATATCCACTTGCAGATTCCACAAAAAGAGTGTTTCAAAACTGCTCTATCAAAAGAAAGCTTCAACACTGTTAGTTAAGGGCGCACATCACAAATAAGTTTCTGAGAATGCTTCTGTCTAGTTTTCAGGGGAAGATATTTCCTTTTAAACCATAGGCCTGAAAGCGCTCCAAATGTCCACATCCAGATACTACAAAAAGAGTGTTTCAAACCTGCTCTATGAAAGGGACTGTTCAACACTGTGACTTCAATTGAAACATCCCAATGAAGCTTCTGAGAATGCTTCTGTCTAGATTCTATATGAAGACAATCCCGTTTCCAACGAAATCCTCAGATCTATCCAAATATCCTCTTGCAGATTTTACAAAAAGAGTGTTTCAAAACTGCTCTATCAAAAGAAAGGTTCAACACTGTTAGTTGAGGGCTCACATCACAAATAAGTTTCTGAGAATGCTTCTGTCTAGTTTTCAGGAGAAGATATTTCCTTTTTCACCATAGGCCTGAAAGCGCTCCAAATGTCCACATCCAGATACTATAAAAAGAGTGTTTCAAACCTGCTCTCTGAAAGGGAATGTTCAACTCTGTGACATGAATGCAAACATCACAAACAAGATTCTGGGAATGCTTCTGTCTAGAGTTTATATGAAGATAATCCCGTTTCCAACGAAATCCTCAAAGCTAGACAAATATCCACTTGCAGATTCCACAAAAAGAGTGTTTCAAAACTGCTCTCTCAAAGGAAAGGTTCAACTCTGTTAGCTGAGTAGATACATCATGAAAAAGTTTCTGACATTGCTTCTATGTAGCTTTTATTGGAAGATATTTCCATTTTCACCGTAGTCCTGAGAGCGCTCCAAATGTCCACTTCCAGATACTACAAAAAGAGTGTTTCAAACCTGTTCTATGAAAGGAACTGTTCAACACTGTGACTTCAATTGAAACATCCCAATGAAGCTTCTGAGAATGCTGCTGTCTGCTTTGTATAATTAATCCCGTTTCCAACGAAATCCTCAAAGCTATCCAAATATCCTCTTGCAGATATTACAAAAAGAGTGTTTCAAAACTGCTCTATCAAAAGAAAGCTTCAACACTGTTAGTTGAGGGCGCACATCACAAATAAGTTTCTGAGAATGCTGCTGTCTGCTTTTTATATGTAATCCCGTTTCCAACGAAATCCTCAAAGCTAGACAAATATCCACTTGCAGATTCCACAAAAAGAGTGTTTCAAAACTGCTCTATCAAAAGAATGCTTCAACACTGTTAGTTGAAGGCGCACATCACAAATAAGTTTCTGAGAATGCTTCTGTCTAGTTTTCAGGGGAAGATATTTCCTTTTAAACCATAGGCCTGAAAGCGCTCCAAATGTCCACATCCAGATACTACAAAAAGAGTGTTTCAAACCTGCTCTATGAAAGGGACTGTTCAACACTGTGACTTCAATTGAAACATCCCAATGATGCTTCTGAGAATGCTTCTGTCTAGAGTTTATATGAAGACAATCCCGTTTCCAACGAAATCCTCAAAGCTATCCAAATATCCTCTTGCAGATTTTACAAAAAGAGTGTTTCAAAACTGCTCTACCAAAAGAAAGCTTCAACACTGTTAGTTGAGGGCGCACATCACAAATAAGATTCTGAGAATGCTTCTGTCTAGTTTTCAGGGGAAGATATTTCCTTTTTCACCTTAGGCCTGAAAGCGCTGCAAATGTCCACATCCAGATACTACAAAAAGAGTGTTTCAAACCTGCTCTATGAAAGGGAATGTTCAACTCTGTGACTTGAATGCAAACATCACAAGGAAGTTTCTGGGAATGCTGCTGTCTGCTTTTTACATGTAATCCCGTTTCCAACGAAATCCTCAAAGCTAGACAAATATCCACTTGCAGATTCCACAAAAAGAGTGTTTCAAAACTGCTCTCTCAAAGGAAAGTTCAACTCTGTTTGCTGAGTAGATACATCATGAAAAAGTTTCTGACATTGCTTCTATCTAGCTTTTATTGGAAGATATTTCCTTTATCACCGTATTCCTGAGATCTCTCCAAATGTCCACTTCCAGATACTACAAAAAGAGTGTTTCAAACCTGCTCTATGAAAGGGACTGTTCAACACTGTGACTTCAATTGAAACATCCCAATGAAGCTTCTGAGAATGCTTCTGTCTAGTTTTCAGGGGAAGATATTTCCTTTTTCACCTTAGGCCTGAAAGCGCTGAAAATGTCCACATCCAGATACTACAAAAAGAGTGTTTCAAACCTGCTCTATGAAAGGGAGTGTTCAACTCTGTGACTTGAATGCAAACATCACAAAGAAGTTACTGGGAATGCTGCTGTCTGCTTTTTATATGTAAACCCGTTTCCAACGAAATCCTCAAAGCTAGACAAATATCCACTTGCAGATTCCACAAAAAGAGTGTTTCAAAACTGCTCTATCAAAAGAATGCTTCAACACTGTTAGTTGAGGGCGCACATCACAAATAAGTTTCTGAGAATGCTTCTATCTAGCTTTTATTGGAAGATATTTCCTTTTTCACCGTAGTCCTGAAAGCGCTCCAAATGTCCACTTCCAGATACTACAAAAAGAGTGTTTCAAACCTGCTCTATCAAAGGGAATGTTCAACACTGTGACTTCAATTGAAACATCCTAATGAAGCTTCTGAGAATGCTACTGTCTAGGGTTAATATGAAGACAATCCCGTTTCCAACGAAATCCTCAAAGCTATCCAAATATCCTCTTGCAGATTTTACAAAAAGAATGTTTCAAAACTGCTCTATCAAAAGAAAGCTTCAACACTGTTAGTTGAGGGCGCACATCACAAATAAGTTTCTGAGACTACTTTTGTCTAGTTTTCAGTGGAATATTCTTCCTTTTTCACCATAGGCCTGAAAGCGCTCCAAATGTCCAAATCCAGATACTATAAAAAGAGTGTTTCAAACCTGCTCTATGAACGGGAATGTTCAACTCTGTGACTTGAATGCAAACATCACAAAGAAGTTTCTGGGAATGCTGCTGTCTGCTTTTTATATGTAATCCCGTTTCCAACGCAATCCTCAAAGCTAGACAAATATCCACTTGCAGATTCCACAAAAAGAGTGTTTCAAAACTGCTCTCTCAAAAGAAAGGTTCAACCCTGTTAGGTGAGTAGATACATCATGAAAAATTTTCTGACATTGCTTCTATCTAGCTTTTATTGGAAGATATTTCCTTTTTCACCGCAGTCCTGAGAGCGTTCCAAATGTCCACTTCCAGATACTACAAAAAGAGTGTTTCAAACCTGCTCTATGAAAGGGACTGTTCAACACTGTGACTTCAATTGAAACATCCCAATGAAGCTTCTGAGAATGCTTCTTTCTAGAGTTTATATGAAGACAATCCCGTTTCCAACGAAATCCTCAAAGCTATCCAAATATTCTCTTGCAGATATTACAAAAAGAGTGTTTCAAAACTGCTCTATCAAAATAAAGCTTCAACACTGTTAGTTGAGGGCGCACATCACAAATAAGTTTCTGAGAATGCTGCTGTCTGCTTTTTATATGTAATCCCGTTTCCAACGAAATCCTCAAAGCTAGACAAATATCCACTTGCAGATTCCACAAAAAGAGTGTTTCAAAACTGCTCTATCAAAAGAATGCTTCAACACTGTTAGTTGAAGGCGCACATCACAAATAAGTTTCTGAGAATGCTTCTGTCTAGTTTTCAGGGGAAGATATTTCCTTTTAAACCATAGGCCTGAAAGCGCTCCAAATGTCCACATCCAGATACTACAAAAAGAGTGTTTCAAACCTGCTCTATGAAAGGGACTGTTCAACACTGTGACTTCAATTGAAACATCCCAATGAAGCTTCTGAGAATGCTTCTGTCTAGAGTTTATATGAAGACAATCCCGTTTCCAACGAAATCCTCAAAGCTATCCAAATATCCTCTTGCAGATATTACAAAAAGAGTGTTTCAAAACTGCTCTTTCAAAAGAAAGCTTCAATACTGTTCGTTGAGGGCGCACATCACAAATAAGATTCTGAGAATGCTTCTGTCTAGTTTTCAGGGGAAGATATTTCCTTTTTCACCATAGGCCTGAAAGCGCTCCAAATGTCCACATCCAGATACTACAAAAAGAGTGTTTGAAACCTGCTCTATGAAAGGCAATGTTCAACTCTGTGACTTGAATGCAAACATCACAAAGAAGTTACTGGGAATGCTGCTGTCTGCTTTTTATATGTAATCCCGTTTCCAACGAAATCCTCAAAGCTAGACAAATATCCACTTGCAGATTCCACAAAAAGAGTGTTTCAAAACTGCTCTCTCAAAAGAAAGGTTCAACTCTGTTAGCTGAGTAGATACATCATGAAAAAGTTTCTGACATTGCTTCTATCTAGCTTTTATTGGAAGATGTTTCCTTTATCACCGTATTCCTGAGATCTCTCCAAATGTCCACTTCCAGATACTACAAAAAGAGTGTTTCAAACCTGCTCTATGAAAGGGACTGTTCAACACTGTGACTTCAATTGAAACATCCCAATGAAGCTTCTGAGAATGCTGCTGTCTGCTTTGTATAATTAATCCCGTTTCCAACGAAATCCTCAAAGCTATCCAAATATCCTCTTGCAGATATTACAAAAAGAGTGTTTCAAAACTGCTCTATCAAAAGAAAGCTTCAACACTGTTAGTTGAGGGCGCACATCACAAATAAGTTTCTGAGAATGCTGCTGTCTGCTTTTTATATGTAATCCCGTTTCCAACGAAATCCTCAAAGCTAGACAAATATCCACTTGCAGATTCCACAAAAAGAGTGTTTCAAAACTGCTCTATGAAAAGAAAGCTTCAACACTGTTAGTTGAGGGCGCACATCACAAATAAGTTTCTGAGAATGCTTCTGTCTAGTTTTCAGGGGAAGATATTTCCTTTTAAACCATAGGCCTGAAAGCGCTCCAAATGTCCACATCCAGATACTACAAAAAGAGTGTTTCAAACCTGCTCTATGAAAGGGACTGTTCAACACTGTGACTTCAATTGAAACATCCCAATGACGCTTCTGAGAATGCTTCTGTCTAGAGTTTATATGAAGACAATCCCGTTTCCAACGAAATCCTCAAAGCTATCCAAATATCCTCTTGCAGATATTACAAAAAGAGTGTTTCAAAACTGCTCTATCAAAAGAAAGCTTCAACACTGTTAGTTGAGGGCGCACATCACAAATAAGTTTCTGAGAATGCTTCTGTCTAGATTTCAGGAGAAGATATTTCCTTTTTCACCGTAGGCCTGAAAGCGCTCCAAATGTCCACATCCAGATACTATAAAAAGAGTGTTTCAAACCTGCTCTCTGAAAGGGAATGTTCAACTCTGTCACTTGAATGCAAACATCACAAACAAGATTCTGGGAATGCTGCTGTCTGCTTTTTATATGTAATCCCGTTTCCAACGAAATCCTCAAAGCTAGACAAATATCCACTTGCAGATTCCACAAAAAGAGTGTTTCAAAACTGCTCTCTCAAAGGAAGGTTCAACTCTGTTAGCTGAGTATATACATCATGAAAAAGTTTCTGACATTGCTTCTATCCAGCTTTTATTGGAAGATATTTCCTTTATCACCGGAGTCCTGAGAGCGCTCCAAATGTCCACTTCCAGATACTACAAAAAGAGTGTTTCAAACCTGCTCTATGAAAGGGACTGTTCAACACTGTGACTTCAATTGAAACATCCCAATGAAGCTTCTGAGAATGCTGCTGTCTGCTTTGTATAATTAATCCCGTTTCCAACGAAATCCTCAAAGCTATCCAAATATCCTCTTGCAGATATTACAAAAAGAGTGTTTCAAAACTGCTCTATCAAAAGAAAGCTTCAACACTGTTAGTTGAGGGCGCACATCACAAATAAGTTTCTGAGAATGCTGCTGTCTGCTTTTCATATGTAATCCCGTTTCCAACGAAATCCTCAAAGCTAGACAAATATCCACTTGCAGATTCCACAAAAAGAGTGTTTCAAAACTGCTCTATCAAAAGAATGCTTCAACACTGTGAGTTGAGGGCGCACATCACAAATAAGTTTCTGAGAATGCTTCTGTCTAGTTTTCAGGGGAAGATATTTCCTTTTAAACCATAGGCCTGAAAGCGCTCCAAATGTCCACATCCAGATACTACAAAAAGAGTGTTTCAAATCTGCTCTATGAAAGGGACTGTTCAACACTGTGACTTCAATTGAAACATCCCAATGAAGCTTCTGAGAATGCTTCTGTCTAGAGTTTATATGAAAACAATCCCGTTTCCAACGAAATCCTCAAAGCTATCCAAATATCCTCTTGCAGATATTACAAAAAGAGTGTTTCAAAACTGCTCTATCAAAAGAAAGCTTCAACACTGTTAGTTGAGGGCGCACATCACAAATAAGTTTCTGAGAATGCTTCTCTCTAGTTTTCAGGGGAAGATATTTCCTTTTTCACCTTAGGCCTGAAAGCGCTGTAAATGTCCACATCCAGATACTACAAAAAGAGTGTTTCAAACCTGCTCTATGAAAGGGAATGTTCAACTCTGTGACTTGAATGCAAACATCACAAAGAAGTTTCTGGGAATGCCGCTGTCTGCTTTTTATATGTAATCCCGTTTCCAACGAAATCCTCAAAGCTAGACAAATATCCACTTGCAGATTCCACAAAAAGAGTGTTTCAAAACTGCTCTCTCAAAAGAAAGGTTCAACTCTGTTAGCTGAGTAGATACATCATGAAAAAGTTTCTGACATTGCTTCTATCTAGCTTTTATTGGAAAATATTTCCTTTTTCACCATAGTCCTGAGAGCGCTCCAAATGTCCATTTCCAGGTACTACAAAAAGAGTGTTTCAAACCTGTTCTATGAAAGGGACTGTTCAACACTGTGGCTTCAATTGAAACATCCCAATGAAGCTTCTGAGAATGCTTCTTTCTAGAGTTTATATGAAGACAATCCCGTTTCCAACGAAATCCTCAAAGCTATCCAAATATTCTCTTGCAGATATTACAAAAAGAGTGTTTCAAAACTGCTCTATCAAAATAAAGCTTCAACACTGTTAGTTGAGGGCGCACATCACAAATAAGTTTCTGAGAATGCTGCTGTCTGCTTTTTATATGTAATCCCGTTTCCAACGAAATCCTCAAAGCTAGACAAATATCCACTTGCAGATTCCACAAAAAGAGTGTTTCAAAACTGCTCTATCAAAAGAAAGCTTCAACACTGTTAGTTGAGGGCGCACATCACAAATAAGTTTCTGAGAATGCTTCTGTCTAGTTTTCAGGGGAAGATATTTCCTTTTAAACCATAGGCCTGAAAGCGCTCCAAATGTCCACATCCAGATACTACAAAAAGAGTGTTTCAAACCTGCTCTATGAAAGGGACTGTTCAACACTGTGACTTCAATTGAAACATCCCAATGACGCTTCTGAGAATGCTTCTGTCTAGAGTTTATATGAAGACAATCCCGTTTCCAACGAAATCCTCAAAGCTATCCAAATATCCTCTTGCAGATTTTACGAAAAGGAGTGTTTCAAAACTGCTCTATCAAAAGAAAGCTTCAACACTGTTAGTTGAGGGCGCACATCACAAATAAGTTTCTGAGAATGCTTCTGTCTAGTTTTCAGGGGAAGATATTTCCTTTTTCACCATAGGCCTGAAAGCGCTCCAAATGTCCACATACAGATACTACAAAAAGAGTGTTTCAAACCTGCTCTATGAAAGGGAATGTTCAACTCTGTGACTTGAATGCAAACTTCACAAAGAAGTTTCTGGGAATGCTGCTGTCTGCTTTTTATATGTAATCCCGTTTCCAACGAAATCCTCAAAGCTAGACAAATATCCACTTGCAGATTCCACAAAAAGAGTGTTTCAAAACTGCTCTCTCAAAAGAAAGGTTCAACTCTGTTAGCTGAGTAGATACATCACGAAAAAGTTTCTGACATTGCTTCTATCTAGCTTTTATTGGAAGATATTTCCTTTATCACCGTATTCCTGAGATCTCTCCAAATGTCCACTTCCAGATACTACAAAAAGAGTGTTTCAAACCTGCTCTATGAAAGGGACTGTTCAACACTGTGACTTCAATTGAAACATCCCAATGAAGCTTCTGAGAATGCTGCTGTCTGCTTTGTATAATTAATCCCGTTTCCAACGAAATCCTCAAAGCTATCCAAATATCCTCTTGCAGATATTACAAAAAGAGTGTTTCAAAACTGCTCTATCAAAAGAAAGCTTCAACACTGTTAGTTGAGGGCGCACATCACAAATAAGTTTCTGAGAATGCTGCTGTCTGCTTTTTATATGTAATCCCGTTTCCAACGAAATCCTCAAAGCTAGACAAATATCCACTTGCAGATTCCACAAAAAGAGTGTTTCAAAACTGCTCTATCAAAAGAAAGCTTCAACACTGTTAGTTGAGGGCGCACATCACAAATAAGTTTCTGAGAATGCTTCTGTCTAGTTTTCAGGGGAAGATATTTCCTTTTAAACCATAGGCCTGAAAGCGCTCCAAATGTCCACATCCAGATACTACAAAAAGAGTGTTTCAAACCTGCTCTATGAAAGAGACTGTTCAACACTGTAACTTCAATTGAAACATCCCAATGAAGCTTCTGAGAATGCTACTGTCTAGAGTTTATATGAAGACAATCCCGTTAACAACGAAATCCTCAAAGCTATCCAAATAACCTCTTGCAGATTTTACAAAAAGAGTGTTTCAAAACTACTCTATCAAAAGAAAGGTTTAACACTGTTAGTTGAGGGCGCACATCACAAATAAGTTTCTGAGAATGCTTCTGTCTAGTTTTCAGGGGAAGATATTTCCTTTTTCACCATAGGCCTGAAAGCGCTCCAAATGTCCACATCCAGATACTACAAAAAGAGTGTTTCAAACCTGCTCTATGAAAGGGAATGTTCAAGTCTGTGACTTGAATGCAAATATCACAAAGAAGTTTACTGGGAATGCTGCTGTCTGCTTTTTATATGTAATCCCGTTTCCAACGAAATCCTCAAAGCTAGACAAATATCCACTTGCAGATTCCACAAAAAGAGTGTTTCAAAACTGCTCTCTCAAAGGAAAGGTTCAACTCTGTTAGCTGAGTAGATACATCATGAAAAAGTTTCTGACATTGCTTCTATCTAGCTTTTATTGGAAGATATTTCCTTTTTCACCGTAGTCCTGAGAGCGCTCCAAATGTCCACTTCCAGATGCTACAAAAAGAGTGTTTCAAACCTGCTCTATGAAAGGGACTGTTCAACACTGTGACTTCAATTGAAACATCCCAATGAAGCTTCTCAGAATGCTAGCTGTCTGCTTTGTATAATTAATCCCGTTTCCAACGAAATCCTCAAAGCTATCCAAATATCCTCTTGCAGATATTACAAAAAGAGTGTTTCAAAACTGCTCTATCAAAAGAAAGCTTCAACACTGTTAGTTGAGGGCGCACATCACAAATAAGTTTCTGAGAATGCTGCTGTCTGCTTTTTTTATGTAATCCCGTTTCCAATGAAATCCTCAAAGCTAGACAAATATCCACTTGCAGATTCCACAAAAAGAGTGTTTCAAAACTGCTCTATCAAAAGAAAGCTTCAACACTGTTAGTTGAGGGCGCAAATCACAAATAAGTTTCTGAGAATGCTTCTGTCTAGTTTTCAGGGGAAGATATTTCCTTTTTCACCATAGGCCTGAAAGCGCTCCAAATGTCCACATCCAGATACTACAAAAAGAGTGTTTCAAACCTGCTCTATGAAAGGGACTGTTCAACACTGTGACTTCAATTGAAACATCCCAATGAAGCTTCTGAGAATGCTTCTGTCTAGAGTTTATATGAAGACAATCCCGTTTCCAACGAAATCCTCAAAGCTATCCAAATATCCTCTTGCAGATTTTACAAAAAGAGTGTTTCAAAACTGCTCTATCAAAAGAAAGCTTCAACACTGCTAGTTGAGTGCGCACATCACAAATAAGATTCTGAGAATGCTTCTGTCTAGTTTTCAGGGGAAGATATTTCCTTTTTCACCATAGGCCTGAAAGCGCTCCAAATGTCCACATCCAGATACTACAAAAAGAGTGTTTCAAACCTGCTCTATGAAAGGGAATGTTCAACTGTGTGACTTGAATGCAAACATCACAAAGAAGTTTCTGGGAATGCTGCTGTCTGCTTTTTATATGTAATCCCGTTTCCAACGAAATCCTCAAAGCTAGACAAATATCCGCTTGCAGATTCCACAAAAAGAGTGTTTCAAAACTGCTCTCTCAAAAGAAAGGTTCAACTCTGTTTGCTGAGTAGATACATCATGAAAAAGTTTCTGACATTGCTTCTATCTAGCTTTTATTGGAAGATATTTCCTTTTTCACCGTAGTCCTGAGAGCGCTCCAAATGTCCACTTCCAGATACTACAAAAGGAGTGTTTCAAACCTGCTCTATGAAAGGGACTGTTCAACACTGTGACTTCAATTGAAACATCCCAATGAAGCTTCTGAGAATGCTTCTGTCTAGAGTTTATATGAAGACAATCCCGTTTCCAACGAAATCCTCAAAGCTATCCAAATATCCTCTTGCAGATATTACAAAAAGAGTGTTTCAAAACTGCTCTATCAAAAGAAAGGTTCAACACTGTTAGTTGAGGGCGCACATCACAAATAAGTTTACTGAGAATGCTTCTGTCTGCTTTTTATATGTAATCCCGTTTCCAACGAATTCCTCAAAGCTAGACAAATATCCACTTGCAGATTCCACAAAAAGAGTGTTTCAAAACTGCTCTCTCAAAAGAAAGGTTCAACTCTGTTAGTTGAGGGCGCACATCACCAATAAGTTTCTGAGAAGGCTTCTGTCTAGTTTTCAGGGGAAGATATTTCCTTTTAAACCATAGGCCTGAAAGCGCTCCAAATGTCCACATCCAGATACTACAAAAAGAGTGTTTCAAACCTGCTCTATGAAAGGGACTGTTCAACACTGCAACTTCAATTGAAACATCCCAATGAAGCTTCTGAGAATGCTTCTGTCTAGAGTTTATATGAAGACAATCCCGTTTCCAACGAAATCCTCAAAGCTATCCAAATATCCTCTTGCAGATATTACAAAAAGAGTGTTTCAAAACTGCTCTATCAAAAGAAAGGTTCAACACTGTTAGTTGAGGGCGCACATCAGAAATAAGTTTCTGAGAATGCTTCTGTCTAGTTTTCAGGGGAAGATATTTCCTTTTTCACCTTAGGCCTGAAAGCGCTGAAAATGTCCACATCCAGATACTACAAAAAGAGTGTTTCAAACCTGCTCTATGAAAGGGAATGTTCAACTCTGTGACTTGAATGCAAACATCACAAAGAAGTTTCTGGGAATGCTGCTGTCTGCTTTTTATATGTAACCCGTTTCCAACGAAATCCTCAAAGCTAGACAAATATCCACTTGCAGATTCCACAAAAAGAGTGTTTCAAAACTGCTCTCTCAAAGGAAGGTTCAACTCTGTTAGCTGAGTAGATACATCATGAAAAAGTTTCTGACATTGCTTCTATCTAGCTTTTATTGGAAGATATTTCCTTTTTCACCGCAGTCCTGAGAGCGCTCCAAATGTCCACTTCCAGATACTACAAAAAGAGTGTTTCAAACCTGCTCTATGAAAGGGACTGTTCAACACTGTGACTTTAATTGAAACATCCCAATGAAGCTTCTGAGAATGCTTCTGTCTACAGTTTATATGAAGACAATCCCGTTTCCAACGAAATCCTCAAAGCTATCCAAATATCCTCTTGCAGATTTTACAAAAAGAGTGTTTCAAAACTGCTCTATCAAAAGAAAGCTTCAACACTGATAGTTGAGGGCGCACATCACAAATAAGATTCTCAGAATGCTTCTGTCTAGTTTTCAGGGGAAGATATTTCCTTTTTCACCATAGGCCTGAAAGCGCTCCAAATGTCCACATCCAGATACTACAAAAAGAGTGTTTCAAACCTGCTCTATGAGAGGGAATGTTCAACTCTGTGACTTGAATGCAAACATCACAAAGAAGTTACTGGGAATGCTGCTGTCTGCTTTTTATATGTAATCCCGTTTCCAACGAAATCCTCAAAGCTAGACAAATATCCACTTGCAGATTCCACAAAAAGAGTGTTTCAAAACTGCTCTCTCAAAGGAAAGGTTCAACTCTGTTAGCTGAGTAGATACATCATGAAAAAGTTTCTGACATTGCTTCTATGTAGCTTTTATTGGAAGATATTTCCTTTTTCACCATAGTCCTGAGAGCGCTCCAAATGTCCACTTCCAGATACTACAAAAAGAGTGTTTCAAACCTGTTCTATGAAAGGAAATGTTCAACTCTGTGACTTGAATGCAAACATCACAAAGAAGTTTCTGGGAATGCTTCTGTGTAGTTTTCAATAGAAGATATTTCCTTTTTCACCATAGGCCTGAAAGCGCTCCAAAGGTCCACATCCAGATACTATAAAAAGAGTGTTTCAAACCTGCTCTCTGAAAGGGAATGTTCAACTCTGTGACTTGAATGCAAACATCACAAAGAAGATTCTGGGAATGCTGCTGTCTGCTTTTTATATGTAATCCCGTTTCCAACGAAATCCTCAAAGCTAGACAAATATCCACTTGCAGATTCCACCAAAAGAGTGTTTCAAAACTGCTCTATCAAAAGAAAGCTTCTACACTGTTAGTTGATGGCGCACATCACAAATAAGATTCTGAGAATGCTTCTGTCTAGTTTTCAGGGGAAGATATTTCCTTTTAAACCATAGGCCTGAAAGCGCTCCAAATGTCCACATCCAGATACTACAAAAAGAGTGTTTCAAACCTGCTCTATGAAAGGGACTGTTCAACACTGCAACTTCAATTGAAACATCCCAATGAAGCTTCTGAGAATGCTTCTGTCTAGAGTTTATATGAAGACAATCCCGTTTCCAACGAAATCCTCAAAGCTATCCAAATATCCTCTTGCAGATTTTACAAAAAGAGTGTTTCAAAACTGCTCTATCAAAAGAAAGCTTCAACACTGTTAGTTGAGGGCGCACATCACAAATAAGATTCTGAGAATGCTTCTGTCTAGTTTTCAGGAGAAGATATTTCCTTTTTCACCATAGGCCTGAAAGCGCTCCAAATGTCCACATCCAGATACTATAAAAAGAGTGTTTCAAACCTGGTCTCTGAAAGGGAATGTTCAACTCTGTGACTTGAATGCAAACATCACAAACAAGATTCTGGGAATGCTGCTGTCTGCTTTTTATATGTAATCCCGTTTCCAACGAAATCCTCAAAGCTAGACAAATATCCACTTGCAGATTCCACCAAAAGAGTGTTTCAAAACTGCTCTCTCAAAAGAAAGTTTCAACTCTGTTAGCTGAGTAGATACATCATGAAAATGTTTCTGACATTGCTTCTATCTAGCTTTTATTGGAAGATATTTCCTTTTTCACCATAGTCCTGAGAACGCTCCAAATGTCCACTTCCAGATATTACAAAAAGAGTGTTTCAAACCTGCTCTACGAAAGGGACTGTTCAACACTGTGACTTCAATTGAAACATCCCAATGAAGCTTCTGAGAATGCTTCTGTCTAGTTTTCAGGAGAAGATATTTCCTTTTTCACCATAGGCCTGAAAGCGCTCCAAATGTTCACATCCAGATACTATAAAAAGAGTGTTTCAAACCTGCTCTCTGAAAGGGAATGTTCAACTCTGTGACTTGAATGCAAACATCACAAACAAGTTTCTGGGAATGCTGCTGTCTGCTTTTTATATGTAATCCCGTTTCAAACGAAATTCTCAAAGCTAGACAAATATCCACTTGCAGATGCCACAAAAAGAGTGTTTCAAAACTGCTCTATCAAAAGAAAGCTTCAACACTGTTAGTTGAGGGCGCACATCACAAATAAGTTTCTGAGAATGCTTCTGTCTAGTTTTCAGGGGAAGATATTTCCTTTTAAACCATAGGCCTGAAAGCGCTCCAAATGTCCACATCCAGATACTACAAAAAGAGTGTTTGAAACCTGCTCTATGAAAGGGACTGTTCAACACTGTGACTTCAATTGAAACATCCCAATGAAGCTTCTGAGAATGCTTCTGTCTAGAGTTTATATGAAGACAATCCCGTTTCCAACGAAATCCTCAAAGCTATCCAAATATCCTCTTGCAGATATTACAAAAAGAGTGTTTCAAAACTGCTCTATCAAAAGAAAGGTTCAACACTGTTAGTTGAGGGCGCACATCACAAATAAGTTTCTGAGAATGCTTCTGTCTAGTTTTCAGGGGAAGATATTTCCTTTTTCACCATAGGCCTGAAAGCGCTCCAAATGTCCACATCCGGATACTACAAAAAGAGTGTTTCAAACCTGCTCTATGAAAGGGAATGTTCAACTCTGTGACTTGAATGCAAACATCACAAAGAAGTTTCTGGGAATGCTGCTGTCTGCTTTTTATATGTAATCCCGTTTCCAACGCAATCCTCAAAGCTAGACAAATATCCACTTGCAGATTCCACAAAAAGAGTGTTTCAAAACTGCTCTCTCAAAAGAAAGGTTCAACCCTGTTAGCTGAGTAGATACATCATGAAAAATTTTCTGACATTGCTTCTATCTAGCTTTTATTGGAAGATATTTCCTTTTTCACTGTAGTCCTGAGAGCGCTCCAAATGTCCACTTCCAGATACTACAAAAAGAGTGTTTCAAATCTGCTCTATGAAAGGGACTGTTCAACACTGTGACTTCAATTGAAACATCCCAATGAAGCTTCTGAGAATGATTCTGTCTAGATTCTATATGAAGACAATCCCGTTTCCAACGTAATCCTCAAAGCTATCCAAATATCCTCTTGCGGATTTTACAAAAAGAGTGTATCAAAACTGCTCTATCAAAAGAAAGGTTCAACACTGTTAGTTGAGGGCGCACATGACAAATAAGTTTCTGAGAATGCTTCTGTCTAGTTTTCAGGGGAAGATATTTCCTTTTTCACCATAGGCCTGAAAGCGCTCCAAATGTCCACATCCAGATACTACAAAAAGAGTGTTTCAAACCTGCTCTATGAAAGGGAATGTTCAACTCTGTGACTTGAATGCAAACATCACAAAGAAGTTTCTGGGAATGCTGCTGTCTGCTTTTTATATGTAATCCCGTTTCCAACGAAATCCTCAAAGCTAGACAAATATCCACTTGCAGATTCCACAAAACGAGTGTTTCAAAACTGCTCTCTCAAATGAAGGTTCAACTCTGTTAGCTGAGTAGATACATCATGAAAAAGTTTCTGACATTGCTTCTATCTAGCTTTTATTGGAAGATATTTCCTTTTTCACCGCAGTCCTGAGAGCGCTCCAAATGTCCACTTCCAGATACTACAAAAAGAGTGTTTCAAACCTGCTCTATGAAAGGGACTGTTCAACACTGTGACTTCAATTGAAACATCCCAATGAAGCTTCTGAGAATGCTTCTTTCTAGAGTTTATATGAAGACAATCCCGTTTCCAACGAAATCCTCAAAGCTATCCAAATATTCTCTTGCAGATATTACAAAAAGAGTGTTTCAAAACTGCTCTATCAAAATAAAGCTTCAACACTGTTAGTTGAGGGCGCACATCACAAATAAGTTTCTGAGAATGCTGCTGTCTGCTTTTTATATGTAATCCCGTTTCCAAAGAAATCCTCAAAGCTAGACAAATATCCACTTGCAGATTCCACAAAAAGAGTGTTTCAAAACTGCTCTATCAAAAGAAAGCTTCAACACTGTTAGTTGAGGGCGCACATCACAAATAAGTTTCTGAGAATGCTTCTATCTAGCTTTTATTGGAAGATATTTCCTTTTTCACCGTAGTCCTGAGAGCACTCCAAATGTCCACTTCCAGATACTACAAAAAGAGTGTTTCAAACCTGCTCTATGAAAGGGACTGTTCAACACTGTGACTTCAATTGAAACATCCCAATGTAGCTTCTGAGAATGCTACTGTCTAGAGTTTATATGAAGACAATCCCGTTTCCAACGAAATCCTCAAAGCTATCCAAATATCCTCCTGCAGATTTTACAAAAAGAGTGTTTCAAAGCTGCTCTATCAAAAGAAAGCTTCAACACTGTTAGTTGAGTGCGCACATCACAAATAAGATTCTGAGAATGCTTCTGTCTAGTTTTCAGGGGAAGATATTTCCTTTTTCACAATAGGCCTGAAAGCGCTCCAAATGTCCACATCCAGATACTACAAAAAGAGTGTTTCAAACCTGCTCTATGAAAGGGAATGTTCAACTCTGTGACTTGAATGCAACCATCACAAAGGAGTTACTGGGAATGCTGCTGTCTGCTTTTTATATGTAATCCCGTTTCCAACGAAATCCTCAAAGCTAGACAAATATCCACTTTCAGATTACACAAAAAGAGTGTTTCAAAACTGCTCTCTCAAAAGAAAGGTTCAACTCTGTTAGCTGAGTAGATACATCATGAAAAAGTTTCTGACATTGCTTCTATGTAGCTTTTATTGGAAGATATTTCCTTTTTCACCATAGGCCTGAAAGCGCTCCAAATATCCACATCCAGATACTACAAAAAAAGTGTTTCAAACCTGCTCTATGAAAGGGAATGTTCAACTCTGTGACTTGAATGCAAACATCACAAAGAAGTTACTGGGAATGCTGCTGTCTGCTTTTTATATGTAATCCCGTTTCCAACGAAATCCTCAAAGCTAGACTAATATCCACTTGCAGATTCCACAAAAAGAGTGTTTCAAAACTGCTCTCTCAAAAGAAAGGTTCAACTCTGTTAGCTGAGTAGATACATCATGAAAAAGTTTCTGACATTGCTTCTATCTAGCTTTTATTGGAAGATATTTCCTTTTTCACCGCAGTCCTGAGAGCGTTCCAAATGTCCACTTCCAGATACTACAAAAAGAGTGTTTCAAACCTGCTCTATGAAAAGGACTGTTCAACACTGTGACTTCAATTGAAACATCCCAATGAAGCTTCTGAGAATGCTTCTGTCTAGAGTTTATATGAAGACAATCCCGTTTCCAACGAAATCCTCAAAGCTATCCAAATATCCTCTTGCAGATATTACAAAAAGAGTGTTTCAAAACTGCTCTATCAAAAGAAAGGTTCAACACTGTTAGTTGAGGGCGCACATCACAAATAAGTTTACTGAGAATGCTGCTGTCTGCTTTTCATATGTAATCCCGTTTCCAACGAAATCCTCAAAGCTAGACAAATATCCACTTGCAGATTCCACAAAAAGAGTGTTTCAAAACTGCTCTATCAAAAGAATGCTTCAACACTGTTAGTTGAGGGCGCACATCACAAATAAGTTTCTGAGAATGCTTCTGTCTAGTTTTCAGGGGAAGATATTTCCTTTTAAACCATAGGCCTGAAAGCGCTCCAAATGTCCACATCCAGATACTACAAAAAGAGTGTTTCAAACCTGCTCTATGAAAGGGACTGTTCAACACTGTGACTTCAATTGAAACATCCCAATGAAGCTTCTGAGAATGCTTCTGTCTAGAGTTTATATGAAGACAATCCCGTTTCCAACGAAATCCTCAAAGCTATCCAAATATCCTCTTGCAGATTTTACAAAAAGAGTGTTTCAAAACTGCTCTATCAAAAGAAAGCTTCAACACTGTTAGTTGAGGGCGCACATCACAAATAAGATTCTGAGAATGCTTCTGTCTAGTTTTCAGGGGAAGATATTTCCTTTTTCACCATAGGCCTGAAAGCGCTCCAAATGTCCACATCCAGATACTACAAAAAGAGTGTTTCAGACCTGCTCTATGAAAGGGAATGTTCAACTCTGACACTTGAATGCAAACATCACAAAGAAGTTACTGGGAATGCTGCTGTCTGCTTTTTATATGTAATCCCGTTTCCAACGCAATCCTCAAAGCTAGACAAATATCCACTTGCAGATTCCACAAAAAGAGTGTTTCAAAACTGCTCTCTCAAAAGAAAGGTTCAACCCTGTTAGCTGAGTAGATACATCATGAAAAATTTTCTGACATTGCTTCTATGTAGCTTTTATTGGAAGATATTTCCTTTATCACCGTATTCCTGAGATCTCTCCAAATGTCCACTTCCAGATACTACAAAAAGAGTGTTTCAAACCTGCTCTATGAAAGGGACTGTTCAACACTGTGACTTCAATTGAAACATCCCAATGAAGCTTCTGAGAATGCTTCTGTCTAGAGTTTATATGAAGACAATCCCGTTTCCAAAGAAATCCTCAAAGCTATCCAAATATCCTCTTGCAGATATTACAAAAAGAGTGTTTCAAAACTGCTCTATCAAAAGAAAGGTTCAACACTGTTAGTTGAGGGCGCACATCACAGATAAGTTTCTGAGAATGCTTCTGTCTAGTTTTCAGGAGAAGATATTTCCTTTTTCACCATAGGCCTGAAAGCGCTCCAAATGTCCACATCCAGATACTACAAAAAGAGTGTTTCAAACCTGCTCTATAAAAGGGAATGTTCAACTCTGTGACTTGAATGCAAACATCACAAAGAAGTTTCTGGGAATGCTGCTGTCTGCTTTTTATATGTAATCCCGTTTCCAACGAAATCCTCAAAGCTATCCAAATATCCTCTTGCAGATATTACAAAAAGAGTGTTTCAAAACTGCTCTATCAAAAGAAAGGTTCAACACTGTTAATTGAGGGCGCACATCACAAATAAGTTTCTGAGAATGCTTCTGTCTAGTTTTCAGGGGAAGATATTTCCTTTTAAACCATAGGCCTGAAAGCGCTCCAAATGTCCACATCCAGATACTACAAAAAGAGTGTTTCAAACCTGCTCTATGAAAGGGACTGTTCAACACTGTGACTTCAATTGAAACATCCCAATGAAGCTTCTGAGAATGCTTCTGTCTAGAGTTTATATGAAGACAATCCCGTTTCCAACGAAATCCTCAAAGCTATCCAAATATCCTCTTGCAGATTTTACAAAAAGAGTGTTTCAAAACTGCTCTATCAAAAGAAAGGTTCAACACTGTTAGTTGAGGGCGCACATCACAAATAAGTTTCTGAGAATGCTTCTGTCTAGTTTTCAGGGGAAGAAGATTATTTCCTTTTTCACCATAGGCCTGAAAGCGCTCCAAATGTCCACATGACCAGATACTACAAAAAGAGTGTTTCAAACCTGCTCTATGAAAGGGAATGTTCAACTCTGTGACTTGAATGCAAACATCACAAAGAAGTTTCTGGGAATGCTGCTGTCTGCTTTGTATATATAATCCCGTTTCCAACGAAATCCTCAAAGCTAGACAAATATCCACTTGCAGATTCCACAAAAAGACTGTTTCAAAACTGCTCTCTAAAAGGAATGGTTCAACTCTGTTAGCTGAGTAGATACATCATGAAAAAGTTTCTGACATTGCTTCTATCTAGCTTTTATTGGAAGATATTTCCTTTATCACTCTATTCCTGAGATCTCTCCAAATGTCCACTTCCAGCTACTACAAAAAGAGTGTTTCAAACCTGCTCTATGAAAGGGACTGTTCAACACTGTGACTTCAATTGAAACATCCCAATGAAGCTTCTGAGAATGCTTCTGTCTAGAGTTTATATGAAGACAATCCCGTTTCCAAAGAAATCCTCAAAGCCATCCAAATATCCTCTTGCAGATTTTACAAAAAGAGTGTTTCAAAACTGCTCTATCAAAAGAAAGCTTCAACATTGTTAGTTGAGGGCGCACATCACAAATAAGATTGCTGAGAATGCTTGTCTGTCTAGTTTTCAGGGGAACATATTTCCTTTTTCACCATAGGCCTGAAAGCGCTCCAAATGTCCACATCCAGATACTACAAAAAGAGTGTTTCAAACCTGCTCTATGAAAGGGAATGTTCAACTCTGTGACTTGAATGCAAACATCACAAAGAAGTTACTGGGAATGCTGCTGTCTGCTTTTTATATGTAATCCCGTTTCCAACGAAATCCTCAATGCTAGACAAATATCCACTTGCAGATTCCACAAAAAGAGTGTTTCAAAACTGCTCTCTCAAAAGAAAGGTTCAACTCTGTTAGCTGAGTAGATACATCATGAAAAAGTTTCTGACATTGCTTCTATGTAGCTTTTATTGGAAGATATTTCCTTTTTCACCGTAGTCCTGAGAGCGCTCCAAATGTCCACTTCCAGATACTACAAAAAGAGTGTTTCAAACCTGCTCTATGAAAGGGACTGTTCAACACTGTGACTTCAATTGAAACATCCCAATGAAGCTTCTGAGAATGCTTCTGTCTAGAGTTTATATGAAGACAATCCCGTTTCCAACGAAATCCTCAAAGCTATCCAAATATCCTCTTGCAGATATTACAAAAAGAGTGTTTCAAAACTGCTCTATCAAAAGAAAGGTTCAACACTGTTAGTTGAGGGCGCACATCACAAATAAGTTTACTGAGAATGCTGCTGTCTGCTTTTCATATGTAATCCCGTTTCCAACGAAATCCTCAAAGCTAGACAAATATCCACTTGCAGATTCCACAAAAAGAGTGTTTCAAAACTGCTCTATCAAAAGAATGCTTCAACACTGTGAGTTGAGGGCGCACATCACAAATAAGTTTCTGAGAATGCTTCTGTCTAGTTTTCAGGGGAAGATACTTCCTTTTTCACCTTAGGCCTGAAAGCGCTGCAAATGTCCACATCCAGATACTACAAAAAGAGTGTTTCAAACCTGCTCTATGAAAGGGACTGTTCAACACTGTGACTTCAATTGAAACATCCCAATGAAGCTTCTGAGAATGCTTCTGTCTAGAGTTTATATGAAGACAATCCCGTTTCCAACGAAATCCTCAAAGCTATCCAAATATCCTCTTGCAGATTTTACAAAAAGAGTGTTTCAAAACTGCTCTATCAAAAGAAAGCTTCAACACTGTTAGTTGAGGGCGCACATCACAAATAAGATTCTGAGAATGCTTCTGTCTAGTTTTCAGGGGAAGATATTTCCTTTTTCACCATAGGCCTGAAAGTGCTCCAAATGTCCACATCCAGATACTACAAAAAGAGTGTTTCAAACCTGCTCTATGAAAGGGAATGTTCAACTCTGTGACTTGAATGGAAACATCACAAACAAGTTACTGGGAATGCTGCTGTCTGCTTTTTATATGTAATCCCGTTTCCAACGAAATCCTCAAAGCTAGACAAATATCCACTTGCAGATTCCACAAAAAGAGTGTTTCAAAACTGCTCTCTCAAAAGAAAGGTTCAAAGCTGTTAGCTGAGTAGACACATCACGAAAAAGTTTCTGACATTGCTTCTATGTAGCTTTTATTGGAAGATATTTCCTTTTTCACCGTAGTCCTGAGAGCGCTCCAAATGTCCATTTCCAGGTACTACAAAAAGAGTGTTTCAAACCTGCTCTATGAAAGGGACTGTTCAAAACTGTGACTTCAATTGAAACATCCCAATGAAGTTTCTGAGAATGCTTCTGTCTAGAGTTTATATGAAGACAATCCCGTTTCCAACGAAATCCTCAAAGCTATCCAAATATCCTCTTGCAGATATTACAAAAAGAGTGTTTCAAAACTGCTCTATCAAAAGAAAGCTTCAACACTGTTAGTTGAGGGAGCACATCACAAATAAGTTTCTGAGAATGCTGCTGTCTGCTTTTTATATGTAATCCCGTTTCCAACGAAATCCTCAAAGCTAGACAAATATCCACTTGCAGATTCCACAAAAAGAGTGTTTCAAAACTGCTCTATCAAAAGAATGCTTCAACACTGTTAGTTGAGGGCGCACATCACAAATAAGTTTCTGAGAATGCTTCTGTCTAGTTTTCAGGGGAAGATATTTCCTTTTTCACCATAGGCCTGAAAGCGTTCCAAATGTCCACATCCAGATACTACAAAAAGAGTGTTTCAAACCTGCTCTATGAAAGGGACTGTTCAACACTGTGACTTCAATTGAAACGTCCCAATGAAGCATCTGAGAATGCTTCTGTCTAGATTTTATATGAAGACAATCCCGTTTCCAACGAAATCCTCAAAGCTATCCAAATATCCTCTTGCAGATTTTACAAAAAGAGTGTTTCAAAACTACTCTATCAAAAGAAAGGTTTAACACTGTTAGTTGAGGGCGCACATCACAAATAAGTTTCTGAGAATGCTTCTGTCTAGTTTTCAGGGGAAGATATTTCCTTTTTCACCATAGGCCTGAAAGCGCTCCAAATGTCCACATCCAGATACTACAAAAAGAGTGTTTCAAACCTGCTCTATGAAAGGGAATGTTCAACTCTGGAACTTGAATGCAAATATCACAAAGAAGTTTCTGGGAATGCTGCTGTCTGCTTTTTATATGTAATCCCGTTTCCAACGCAATCCTCAAAGCTAGACAAATATCCACTTGCAGATTCCACAAAAAGAGTGTTTCAAAACTGCTCTCTCAAAAGAAAGGTTCAACTCTGTTAGCTGAGTAGATACATCATGAAAAATTTTCTGACATTGCTTCTATGTAGCTTTTATTGGAAGATATTTCCTTTTTCACCATAGTCCTGAGAGCGCTCCAAATGTCCACTTCCAGATACTACAAAAAGAGTGTTTCAAACCTGTTCTATGAAAGGAACTGTTCAACACTGTGACTTCAATTGAAACATCCCAAAGAAGCTTCTGAGAATGCTGCTGTCTGCTTTGTATAATTAATCCCGTTTCCAACGAAATCCTCAAAGCTATCCAAATATCCTCTTGCAGATATTACAAAAAGAGTGTTTCAAAACTGCTCTATCAAAAGAAAGCTTCAACACTGTTAGTTGAGGGCGCACATCACAAATAAGTTTCTGAGAATGCTGCTGTCTGCTTTGTATATATAATCCCGTTTCCAACGAAATCCTCAAAGCTAGACAAATATCCACTTGCAGATTCCACAAAAAGAGTGTTTCAAAACTGCTCTATCAAAAGAAAGCTTCAACACTGTTAGTTGAGGGCGCACATCACAAATAAGATTCTGAGAATGCTATTGTCTAGTTTTCAGGGGAAGATATTTCCTTTTAAACCATAGGCCTGAAAGCGCTCCAAATGTCCACATCCAGATACTACAAAAAGAGTGTTTCAAACCTGCTCTATGAAAGGGACTGTTCAACACTGTGACTTCAATTGAAACATCCCAATGACGCTTCTGAGAATGCTTCTGTCTAGAGTTTATATGCAGACAATCCCGTTTCCAACGAAATCCTCAAAGCTATCCAAATATCCTCTTGCAGATTTTACAAAAAGCGTGTTTCAAAACGGCTCTGTGAAAAGAAAGCTTCAACACTGTTAGTTGAGGGCGCACATCACAAATAAGTTTCTGAGACTACTTCTGTCTAGTTTTCAGGGGAAGATATTTCCTTTTTCACCATAGGCCTGAAAGCGCTCCAAATGTCCACATCCAGATACTACAAAAAGAGTGTTTCAAACCTGCTCTATGAAAGGGAATGTTCAACTCTGTGACTTGAATGCAAACATCACAAAGAAGTTTCTGGGAATGCTGCTGTCTGCTTTTTATATGTAATCCCGTTTCCAACGAAATCCTCAAAGCTAGACAAATATCCACTTGCAGATTCCACAAAAAGAGTGTTTCAAAACTGCTCTCTCAAAGGAAGGTTCAACTCTGTTAGCTGAGTAGACACATCATGAAAAAGATTCTGACATTGCTTCTATGTAGCTTTTATTGGAAGATATTTCCTTTTTCACCGCAGTCTGAGAGCGCTCCAAATGTCCACTTCCAGATACTACAAAAAGAGTGTTTCAAACCTGCTCTATGAAAGGGACTGTTCAACACTGTGACTTCAATTGAAACATCCCAATGAAGCTTCTGAGAATGCTTCTGTCTAGATTCTATATGAAGACAATCCCGTTTCCAACGAAATCCTCAAAGCTATCCAAATATCCTCTTGCAGATTTTACAAAAAGAGTGTTTCAAAACTGCTCTATCAAAAGAAAAGTTCCACACTGTTAGTTGAGGGCGCACATCACAAATAAGTTTGCTGAGAATGCTGCTGTCTGCTTTTTATATGTAATCCCGTTTCCAACGAAATCCTCAAAGCTAGACAAATATCCACTTGCAGATTCCACAAAAAGAGTGTTTCAAAACTGCTCTATCAAAAGAATGCTTCAACACTGTTAGTTGAGGGCGCACATCACAAATAAGTTTCTGAGAATGCTTCTGTCTAGTTTTCAGGGGAAGATATTTCCTTTTTCACCATAGGCCTGAAAGCGCTCTAAATGTCCACATCCAGATACTACAAAAAGAGTGTTTCAAACCTGCTCTATGAAAGGGACTGTTCAACACTGTGACTTCAATTGAAACATCCCAATGAAGCTTCTGAGAATGCTACTGTCTAGGGTTAACATGAAGACAATCCCGTTTCCAACGAAATCCTCAAAGCTATCCAAATATCTTCTTGCAGATTTTACAAAAAGAATATTTCAAAACTGCTCTATCAAAAGAAAGCTTCAACACTGTTAGTTGAGGGCGCACATCACAAATAAGTTTCTGAGAATACTTCTGTCTAGTTTTCAGTGGAAGATATTTCCGTTTTCACCATAGGCCTGAAAGGGCTCCAAATGTCCAAATCCAGATACTACAAAAAGAGTGTTTCAAACCTGCTCTATGAAAGGGAATGTTCAACTCTGTGACTTGAATGCAAACATCACAAAGAAGTTTCTGGGAATGCTGCTGTCTGCTTTTTATATGTAAACCCGTTTCCAACGAAATCCTCAAAGCTAGACAAATATCCACTTGCAGATTCCACAAAAAGAGTGTTTCAAAACTGCTCTCTCAAAAGAAAGGTTCAACTCTGTTAGCTGAGTAGATACATCATGAAAAAGTTTCTGACATTGCTTCTATCTAGCTTTTATTGGAAGATATTTCCTTTATCACCGTAGTCCTGAGAGCGCTCCAAATGTCCACTTCCAGATACTACAAAAAGAGTGTTTCAAACCTGCTCTATGAAAGGGACTGTTCAACACTGTGACTTCAATTGAAACCTCCCAATGAAGCTTCTGAGAATGCTTCTGTCTAGAGTTTATATGAAGACAATCCCGTTTCCAACGAAATCCTCAAAGCTATCCAAATATCCTCTTGCAGATATTACAAAAAGAGTGTTTCAAAACTGCTCTATCAAAAGAAAGGTTCAACACTGTTAGTTGAGGGCGCACATCACAAATAAGTTTACTGAGAATGCTGCTGTCTGCTTTTTATATGTAATCCCGTTTCCAACGAAATCCTCAAAGCTAGACAAATATCCACTTGCAGATTCCACAAAAAGAGTGTTTCAAAACTGCTCTATCAAAAGAATGCTTCAACACTGTTAGTTGAGGGCGCACATCACAAATAAGTTTCTGAGAATGCTTCTGTCTAGTTTTCAGGGGAAGATATTTCCTTTTTCACCATAGGCCTGAAAGCGCTCCAAATGTCCACATCCAGATACTACAAAAAGAGTGTTTCAAACCTGCTCTATGAAAGGGACTGTTCAACACTGTGACTTCAATTGAAACATCCCAATGAAGCTTCTGAGAATGCTTCTGTCTAGAGTTAATATGAAGACAATCCCGTTTCCAACGAAATCCTCAAAGCTATCCAAATATCCTCTTGCAGATTTTACAAAAAGAGTGTTTCAAAACTGCTCTATCAAAAGAAAGCTTCAACACTGTTAGTTGAGGGCGCACATCACAAATAAGATTCTGAGAATTCTTCTGTCTAGTTTTCAGGGGAAGATATTTCCTTTTTCACCATAGGCCTGAAAGCGCTCCAAATGTCCACATCCAGATACTACAAAAAGAGTGTTTCAAACCTGCTCTATGAAAGGGAATGTTCAACTCTGTGACTTGAATGCAAACATCACAAAGAAGATTACTGGGAATGCTGCTGTCTGCTTTTTATATGTAATCCCGTTTCCAACGAAATCCTCAAAGCTAGACAAATATCCACTTCCAGATTCCACAAAAAGAGTGTTTCAAAACTGCTCTCTCAAAAGAAAGGTTCAACTCTGTTAGCTGAGTAGATACATCATGAAAAAGTTTCTGACATTGCTTCTATCTAGCTTTTATTGGAAGACATTTCCTTTTTCACCGTAGTCCTGAGAGCGCTCCAAATGTCAACTTCCAGATACTACAAAAAGAGTGTTTCAAACCTGCTCTATGAAAGGGACTGTTCAACACTGTGACTTCAACTGAAACATCCCAATGAAGCTTCTGAGAATGCTTCTGTCTAGAGTTTATATGAAGACAATCCCGTTTCCAACGAAATCCTCAAAGCTATCCAAATATCCTCTTGCAGATATTACAAAAAGAGTGTTTCAAAACTGCTCTATCAAAAGAAAGGTTCAACACTGTTAGTTGAGGGCGCACATCACAAATAAGTTTACTGAGAATGCTGCTGTCTGCTTTTTATATGTAATCCCGTTTCCAACGAAATCCTCAAAGCTATCCAAATATCCTCTTGCAGATATTACAAAAAGAGTGTTTCAAAACTGCTCTATCAAAAGAAAGGTTCAACACTGTTAGTTGAGGGCGCACATCACAAATAAGTTTCTGAGAATGCTTCTGTCTAGTTTTCAGGGGAAGATATTTCCTTTTTCACCATAGGCCTGAGAGCGCTCCAAATGTCCACATCCAGATACTACAAACAGAGTGTTTCAAACCTGCTCTATGAAAGGGAATGTTCAACTCTGTGACTTGAATGCAAACATCACAAAGAAGTTTCTGGGAATGCTTCAGTCTAGAGTTTATATGAAGACAATCCCGTTTCCAACGAAATCCTCAAAGCTATCCAAATATCCTCTTGCAGATATTACAAAAAGAGTGTTTCAAAACTGCTCTATCAAAAGAAAGCTTCAACACTGTTAGTTGAGGGCGCACATCACAAATAAGTTTCTGAGAATGCGTCTGTCTAGTTTTCAGGGGAAGATATTTCCTTTTTCACCATAGGCCTGAAAGCGCTCCAAATGTCCACATCCAGATACTACAAAAAGAGTGTTTCAAACCTGCTCTATGAAAGGGAATGTTCAACTCTGTGACTTGAATGCAAACATCACAAAGAAGTTACTGGGAATGCTGCTGTCTGCTTTTTATATGTAATCCCGTTTCCAACGAAATCCTCAAAGCTAGACAAATATCCACTTGCAGATTCCACAAAAAGAGTGTTTCAAAACTGCTCTCTCAAAAGAAAGGTTCAACTCTGTTAGCTGAGTAGATACATCATGAAAAAGTTTCTGACATTGCTTCTATGTAGCTTTTATTGGAAGATATTTCCTTTTTCACCGTAGTCCTGAGAGCGCTCCAAATGTCCACTTCCAGATACTACAAAAAGAGTGTTTCAAACCTGCTCTATGAAAGGGACTGTTCAACACTGTGACTTCAATTGAAACATCCCAATGAAGCTTCTGAGAATGCTTCTGTCTAGAGTTTATATGAAGACAATCCCGTTTCCAACGAAATCCTCAAAGCTATCCAAATATCCTCTTGCAGATATTACAAAAAGAGTGTTTCAAAACTGCTCTATCAAAAGAAAGGTTCAACACTGTTAGTTGAGGGCGCACATCACAAATAAGTTTACTGAGAATGCTGCTGTCTGCTTTTTATATGTAATCCCGTTTCCAACGAAATCCTCAAAGCTAGACAAATATCCACTTGCAGATTCCACAAAAAGAGTGTTTCAAAACTGCTCTATCAAAAGAAAGCTTCAACACTGTTAGTTGAGGGCGCACATCACAAATAAGTTTCTGAGAATGCTTCTGTCTAGTTTTCAGGGGAAGATATTTCCTTTTAAACCATAGGCCTGAAAGCGCTCCAAATGTCCACATCCAGATACTACAAAAAGAGTGTTTCAAACCTGCTCTATGAAAGGGACTGTTCAACACTGTGACTTCAATTGAAACATCCCAATGACGCTTCTGAGAATGCTTCTGTCTAGATTGTATATGAAGACAATCCCGTTTCCAACGAAATCCACAAAGCTATCCAAATATCCTCTTGCAGATTTTACAAAAAGAGTGTTTCAAAACTGCTCTATCAAAAGAAAGCTTCAACACTGTTAGTTGAGGGCGCACATCACAAATAAGTTTCTGAGAATGCTTCTGTCTAGTTTTCAGGGGAAGATATTTCCTTTTTCACCATAGGCCTGAAAGCGCTCCAAATGTCCACATACAGATACTACAAAAAGAGTGTTTCAAACCTTCTCTATGAAAGGGAATGTTCAACTCTGTGACTTGAATGCAAACATCACAAAGAAGTTACTGGGAATGCTGCTGTCTGCTTTTTATATGTAATCCCGTTTCCAACGAAATCCTCAAAGCTAGACAAATATCCACTTGCAGATTCCACAAAAAGAGTGTTTCAAAACTGCTCTGTCAAAAGAAAGGTTCAACTCTGTTAGCTGAATAGATACATCATGAAAAATTTTCTGACATTGCTTCTATCTAGCTTTATTTGGAAGATATTTCCTTTTTCACCGTAGTCCTGAGAGCGCTCCAAATGTCCACTTCCAGATACTACAAAAAGATTGTTTCAAACATGCTCTATGAAAGGGACTGTTCAACACTGTGACTTCAATTGAAACATCCCAATGAAGCTTCTGAGAATGCTTCTGTCTAGAGTTTATATGAAGACAATACCGTTTCCAAAGAAATCCTCAAAGCTATCCAAATATCCTCTTGCAGATATTACAAAAAGAGTGTTTCAAATCTGCTCTATCAAAAGAAAGGTTCAACACTGTTAGTTGAGGGCGCACATCACAAATACGTTTCTGAGAATGCTTCTGTCTAGGTTTTGTATGGACATATTCCCGTTTCCAACGAAATCCTCTAGGCTATCCAAATATCCACTTGCAGATTCTACAAAAAGAGTGTTTCAAAACTGCTCTATCAAAAGAAATGTTCAACACTGTTACTTGAGGGCGCACATCAAAATAAGTTTCTGAGAATGCTTCTGTCTAGTTTTCAGGGGAAGATATTTCCTTTTTCACCATAGGCCTGAAAGCGCTCCAAATGTCCACATCCAGATACTACAAAAAGAGTGTTTCAAACCTGCTCTATGAAAGGGAATGTTCAACTCTGTGACTTGAATGCAAACATCACAAAGAAGTTTCTGGGAATGCTGCTGTCGGCTTTTTATATGTAATCCCGTTTCCAACGAAATCCTCAAAGCTAGACAAATATCCACTTGCATATTCCACAAAAAGAGTGCTTCAAAGCTGCTCTCTCAAAAGAAAGGTTCAACTCTGTTAGCTGAGCAGATACATCATAAAAAAGTTTCTGACATTGCTTCTATCTAGCTTTCATTGGAAGATATTTCCTTTTTCACGGTAGTCCTGAGAGCGCTCCAAATGTCCACTTCCAGATACTACAAGAAGAGTGTTTCAAACCTGCTCTAACAAAGGGAATGTTCAACACTGTGACTTCAATTGAAACATCCCAAAGAAATTTCTGAGAATGCTGCTGTCTGCTTTGTATAATTAATCCCGTTTCCAACGAAATCCTCAAAGCTATCCAAATATCCTCTTGCAGATATTACAAAAAGAGTGTTTCAAAACTGCTCTATCAAAAGAAAGCTTCAACACTGTTAGTTGAGGGCGCACATCACAAATAAGTTTCTGAGAATGCTGCTGTCTGCTTTTTATAAGTAATCCCGTTTCCAACGAAATCCTCAAAGCTATCCAAATATCCTCTTGCAGATATTACAAAAAGAGTGTTTCAAAACTGCTCTATCAAAAGAAAGGTTCAACACTGTTAGTTGAGGGCGCACATCACAAATAAGTTTCTGAGAATGCTTCTGTCTAGTTTTCAGGGGAAGATATTTCCTTTTAAACCATAGGCCTGAAAGCGCTCCAAATGTCCACATCCAGATACTACAAAAAGAGTGTTTCAAACCTGCTCTATGAAAGGGACTGTTCAACACTGTGACTTCAATTGAAACATCCCAATGAAGCTTCTGAGAATGCTTCTGTCTAGAGTTTATATGAAGACAATCCCGTTTCCAACCAAATCCTCAAAGCTATCCAAATATCCTCTTGCAGATTTTACAAAAAGAGTGTTTCAAAACTGCTCTATCAAAAGAAAGCTTCAACACTGTTAGTTGAGGGCGCACATCACAAATAAGATTCTGAGAATGCTTCTGTCTAGTTTTCAGGGGAAGATATTTCCTTTTTCACCATAGGCCTGAAAGCGCTCCAAATGTCCACATCCACATACTACAAAAACAGTGTTTCAAACCTGCTCTATGAAAGGGAATGTTCAACTCTGTGACTTGAATGCAAACATCACAAAGAAGTTTCTGGGAATGCTGCTGTCTGCTTTTTATATGTAATCCCGTTTCCAACGAAATCCTCAAAGCTAGACAAATATCCACTTCCAGATTCCACAAAAAGAGTGTTTCAAAACTGCTGTCTCAAAAGAAAGGTTCAACTGCTGTTAGCTGAGTAGATACATCATGAAAAAGTTTCTGACATTGCTTCTATCTAGCTTTTATTGGAAGATATTTCCTTTATCACCGTATTCCTGAGATCTCTCCAAATGTCCACTTCCAGATACTACAAAAAGAGTGTTTCAAACCTGCTCTATGAAAGGGACTGTTCAACACTGTGACTTCAATTGAAACTTCCCAATGAAGCTTCTGAGAATGCTTCTGTCTTGAGTTTATATGAAGACAATCCCGTTTCCAACGAAATCCTCAAAGCTATCCAAATATCCTCTTGCAGATATTACAAAAAGAGTGTTTCAAAACTGCTCTATCAAAAGAAAGGTTCAACACTGTTAGTTGAGGGCGCACATCACAAATAAGTTTCTGAGAATTCTTCTGTCTAGTTTTCAGGGGAAGATACTTCCTTTTTCACCATAGGCCTGAAAGCGCTCCAAATGTCCACATCCAGATACTACAAAAAGAGTGTTTCAAACCTGCTCTATGAAAGGGAATGTTCAAGTCTGTGACTTGAATGCAAACATCACAAAGTAGTTTGCTGGGAATGCTGCTGTCTGCTTTTTATATGTAATCCCGTTTCCAACGAAATCCTCAAAGCTAGACAAGTATCCACTTGCAGATTCCACAAAACGAGTGTTTCAAAACTGCTCTCTCAAATGAAGGTTCAACTCTGTTAGCTGAGTAGATACATCATGAAAAAGTTTCTGACATTGCTTCTATCTAGCTTTTATTGGAAGATATTTCCTTTTTCACCGCAGTCCTGAGAGCGTTCCAAATGTCCACTTCCAGATACTACAAAAAGAGTGTTTCAAACCTGCTCTATGAAAGGGACTGTTCAACACTGTGACTTCAATTGAAACATCCCAATGAAGCTTCTGAGAATGCTGCTGTCTGCTTTGTATAATTAATCCCGTTTCCAACGAAATCCTCAAAGCTATCCAAATATCCTCTTGCAGATATTACAAAAAGAGTGTTTCAAAACTGCTCTATCAAAAGAAAGCTTCAACACTGTTAGTTGAGGGCGCACATCACAAATAAGTTTCTGAGAATGCTGCTGTCTGCTTTTTATATAATCCCGTTTCCAACGAAATCCTCAAAGCTAGACAAATATCCTCTTGCAGATTTTACAAAAAGAGTGTTTCAAAACTGCTCTATCAAAAGAAAGGTTCAACACTGTTAGTTGAGGGCGCACATCACAAATAAGTTTCTGAGAATGCTTCTGTCTAGTTTTCAGGGGAAGATATTTCCTTTTTCACCATAGGCCTGAAAGCGCTCCAAATGTCCACATCCAGATACTACAAAAAGAGTGTTTCAAACCTGCTCTATGAAAGGGACTGTTCAACACTGTGACTTCAATTGAAACATCCCAATGAAGCTTCTGAGAATGCTTCTGTCTAAAGTTTATATGAAGACAATCCCGTTTCCAACGAAATCCTCAAAGCTATCCAAATATCCTCTTGCAGATTTTACGAAAAGAGTGTTTCAAAACTGCTCTATCAAAAGAAAGCTTCAACACTGTTAGTTGAGGGTGCACATCACAAATAAGATTGTGAGAATGCTTCTGTCTAGTTTTCAGGGGAAGATATTTCCTTTTTCACCATAGGCCTGAAAGCGCTCCAAATGTCCACATACAGATACTACAAAAAGTGTGTTTCAAACCTGCTCTATGAAAGGGAATGTTCAAATCTGTGACTTGAATGCAAACATCACAAAGAAGTTTTCTGGGAATGCTGCTGTCTGCTTTTTATATGTAATCCCGTTTACAACGAAATCCTCAAAGCTAGACAATATCCACTTGCAGATTCCACAAAAAGAGTGTTTCAAAACTGGTCTCTCAAAGGAAGGTTCAACTCTGTTAGCTGAGTAGATACATCATGAAAAAGTTTCTGACATTGCTTCTATCTAGCTTTTATTGGAAGATATTTCCTTTTTCACCGCAGTCCTGAGCGCGCTCCAAATGTCCACTTCCAGATACTACAAAAAGAGTGTTTCAAACCTGCTCTATGAAAGGGACTGTTCAACACTGTGACTTCAATTGAAACATCCCAATGAAGCTTCTGAGAATGCTGCTGTCTGCTTTGTATAATTAATCCCGTTTCCAACGAAATCCTCAAAGCTATCCAAATATCCTCTTGCAGATATTACAAAAAGAGTGTTTCAAAACTGCTCTATCAAAAGAAAGCTTCAACACTGTTAGTTGAGGGCGCACATCACAAATAAGTTTCTGAGAATGCTGCTGTCTGCTTTTTATATGTAATCCCGTTTCCAACGAAATCCTCAAAGCTAGACAAATATCCACTTGCAGATTCCACAAAAAGAGTGTTTCAAAACTGCTCTATCAAAAGAAAGCTTCAACACTGTTAGTTGAGGGCGCACATCACAAATAAGTTTCTGAGAATGCTTCTGTCTAGTTTTCAGGGGAAGATATTTCCTTTTTCACCATAGGCCTGAAAGCGCTCTAAATGTCCACATCCAGATACTACAAAAAGAGTTTTTCAAACCTGCTCTATGAAAGGGACTGTTCAACACTGTGACTTCAATTGAAACATCCCAATGAAGCTTCTGAGAATGCTTCTGTCTAGATTGTATATGAAGACAATCCCGTTTCCAACGAAATCCTCAAAGCTATCCAAATATCCTCTTGCAGATTTTTCAAAAAGAGTGTTTCAAAACTGCTCTATCAAAAGAAAGCTTCAACACTGTTAGTTGAGGGCGCACACCACAAATAAGTTTCTGAGAATGCTTCTGTCTAGTTTTCAGGGGAAGATATTTCCTTTTTCACCATAGGCCTGAAAGCGCTCCAAATGTCCACATCCACATACTACAAAAAGAGTGTTTCAAACCTGCTCTATGAAAGGGAATGTTCAACTCTGTGACTTGAATGCAAACATCACAAAGAAGTTTCTGGGAATGCTGCTGTCTGCTTTTTATATGTAATCCCGTTTCAAACGCAATCCTCAAAGCTAGACAAATATCCACTTGCAGATTCCACAAAAAGAGTGTTTCAAAACTGCTCTCTCAAAAGAAAGGTTCAACTCTGTTAGCTGAGTAGATACGTCATGAAAAAGTTTCTGACATTGCTTCTATCTAGCTTTATTTGGAAGATATTTCCTTTTTCACCGTAGTCCTGAGAACGCTCCAAATGTCCACTTCCAGATACTACAAAAAGATTGTTTCAAACGTGCTCTATGAAAGGGACTGTTCAACACTGTGACTTCAATTGAAACATCCCAATGAAGCTTCTGAGAATGCTTCTGTCTAGATTCTATATGAAGACAATCCCGTTTCCAACGAAATCCTCAAATCTATCCAAATATCCTCTTGCAGATTTTACAAAAAGAGTGTTTCAAAACTGCTCTATCAAAAGAAAGGTTCAACACTGTTAGTTGAGGGCGCACATCACAAATAAGTTTCTGAGAATGCTGCTGTCTGCTTTTTATATGTAATCCCGTTTCCAACGAAATCCTCAAAGCTAGACAAATATCCACTTGCAGATTCCACAAAAAGAGTGTTTCAAAACTGCTCTGTCAAAAGAAAGCTTCAACACTGTTGGTTGAGGGCGCACATCACAAATAAGTTTCTGAGAATGCTTCTGTCTAGTTTTCAGGGGAAGATATTTCCTTTTTCACCATAGGCCTGAAAGCGCTCGAAATGTCCACATCCAGATACTACAAAAAGAGTGTTTCAAACCTGCTCTATGAAAGGGACTGTTCAACACTGTGACTTCAATTGAAACATCCCAATGAAGCTTCTGAGAATGCTTCTGTCTAGAGTTTATATGAAGACAGTCCCGTTTCCAATGAAATCTTCAAAGCTATCCAAATATCCTCTTGCAGATTTTACAAAAAGAGTGTTTCAAAACTGCTCTATCAAAAGAAAGCTTCAACACTGTTAGTTGAGGGCGCACATCACAAATAAGATTCTGAGAATGCTTCTGTCTAGTTTTCAGGGGAAGATATTTCCTTTTTCACCATAGGCCTGAAAGCGCTCCAAATGTCCACATCCAGATACTACAAAAAGAGTGTTTCAAACCTGCTCTATGAAAGGGAATGTTCAACTCTGTGACTTGAATGCAAACATCACAAAGAAGTTTCTGGGAATGCTGCTGTCTGCTTTTTATATGTAATCCCGTTTCCAACGAAATCCTCAAAGCTAAACAAATATCCACTTGCAGATTCCACCAAAAGAGTGTTTCAAAACTGCTGTCTCAAAAGAAAGGTTCAACTCTGTTAGCTGAGTAGATACATCATGAACAATTTTCTGACATTGCTTCTATCTAGCTTTTATTGGAAGATATTTCCTTTTTCACTGTAGTCCTGAGAACGCTCCAAATGTCCACTTCCAGATACTACAAAAAGAGTGTTTCAAACCTGCTCTATGAAAGGTACTGTTCAACACTGTGACTTCAATTGAAACATCCCAATGAAGCTTCTGAGAATGCTTCTGTCTAGATTCTATATGAAGACAATCCCGTTTCCAACGAAATCCTCAAAGCTATCCAAATATCCTCTTGCAGATTTTACAAAAGAGTGTTTCAAAACTGCTCTATCAAAAGAAAGGTTCAACACTGTTAGTTGAGGGCGCACATCACAAATAAGTTTCTGAGACTACTGCTGTCTGCTTTTTATATGTAATCCCGTTTCCAACGAAATCCTCAAAGCTAGACAAATATCCACTTGCAGATTCCACAAAAAGAGTGTTTCAAAACTGCTCTATCAAAAGAAAGCTTCAACACTGTTAGTTGAGGGCGCACATCACAAATAAGTTTCTGAGAATGCTTCTGTCTAGTTTTCAGGGGAAGATATTTCCTTTTAAACCATAGGCCTGAAAGCGCTCCAAATGTCCACATCCAGATACTACAAAAAGAGTGTTTCAAATCTGCTCTATGAAAGGGACTGTTCAACACTGTGACTTCAATTGAAACATCCCAATGAGGCTTCTGAGAATGCTTCTGTCTAGAGTTTATATGAAGACAATCCCGTTTCCAACGAAATCCTCAAAGCTATCCAAATATACTCTTGCAGATTTTACAAAAAGTGTGTTTCAAAACTGCTCTATCAAAAGAAAGCTTCAACACTGTTAGTTGAGGGCGCACATCACAAATAAGATTCTGAGAATGCTTCTGTCTAGTTTTCAGGGGAAGATATTTCCTTTTACACCATAGGCCTGAAAGCGCTCCAAATGTCCACATCCAGATACTACAAAAAGAGTGTTTCAAACCTGCTCTATGAAAGGGAATGTTCAACTCTGTGACTTGAATGCAAACATCACAAAGAAGTTACTGGGAATGCTGCTGTCTGCTTTTTATATGTAATCCCCTTTCCAAAGAAGTCCTCAAAGCTAGACAAATATCCACTTGCAGATTCCACAAAAAGAGTGTTTCAAAACTGCTCTCTCAAAAGAAAGGTTCAACTCTTTTAGCTGAGTAGATACATCATGAAAAAGTTTCTCACATTGCTTCTATCTAGATTTTATTGGAAGATATTTCCTTTTTCACCGCAGTCCTGAGAGCGTTCCAAATGTCCACTTCCAGATACTACAAAAAGAGTGTTTCAAACCTGCTCTATGAAAGGGACTGTTCAACACTGTGACTTCAATTGAAACATCCCAATGAAGCTTCTGAGAATGCTTCTGTGTAGAGTTTATATGAAGACAATCCCGTTTCCAACGAAATCCTCAAAGCTATCCAAATATCCTCTTGCAGATTTTACAAAAAGAGTGTTTCAAAACTGCTCTATCAAAAGAAAGCTTCAACACTGTTAGTTGAGGGCGCACATCACAAATAAGTTTCTGAGAATGCTGCTGTCTGCTTTTTATATGTAATCCCGTTTCCAACGAAATCCTCAAAGCTAGACAAATATCCACTTGCAGATTCCACAAAAAGAGTGTTTCAAAACTGCTCTATCAAAAGAATGCTTCAACACTGTTAGTTGAGAGCGCACATCACAAATAAGTTTCTGAGAATGCTTCTGTCTAGTTTTCAGGGGAAGATATTTCCTTTTAAACCATAGGCCTGAAAGCGCTCCAAATGTCCACATCCAGATACTACAAAAAGAGTGTTTCAAACCTGCTCTATGAAAGGGACTGTTCAACACTGTGACTTCAATTCAAACATCCCAATGACGCTTCTGAGAATGCTTCTGTCTAGAGTTTATATGAAGACAATCCCGTTTCCAACGAAATCCTCAAAGCTATCCAAATATCCTCTTGCAGATTTTACAAAAAGAGTGTTTCAAAACTGCTCTATCAAAAGAAAGGTTCAACACTGTTAGTTGAGGGCGCACATCACAAATAAGTTTCTGAGAATGCTTCTGTCTAGTTTTCAGGAGAAGATATTTCCTTTTTCACCATAGGCCTGAAAGCGCTCCAAATGTCCACATCCAGATACTATAAAAAGAGTGTTTCAAACCTGCTCTCTGAAAGGGAATGTTCAACTCTGTGACTTGAATGCAAACATCACAAACAAGATTCTGGGAATGCTGCTGTCTGCTTTTTATATGTAATCTCGTTTCCAACGAAATCCTCAAAGCTAGACAAATATCCACTTGCAGATTCCACAAAAAGAGTGTTTCAAAACTGCTCTCTCAAAGGAAGGTTCAACTCTGTTAGCTGAGTAGATACATCATGAAAAAGTTTCTGACATTGCTTCTATGTAGCTTTTATTGGAAGATATTTCCTTTTTCACCATAGTCCTGAGAGCGCTCCAAATGTCCACTTCCAGATACTACAAAAAGAGTGTTTCAAACCTGTTCTATGAAAGGAACTGTTGAACACTGTGACTTCAATTGAAACATCCCAATGAAGCTTCTGAGAATGCTTCTGTCTAGAGTTTATATGAAGACAATCCCGTTTCCAACGAAATCCTCAAAGCTATCCAAATATCCTCTTGCAGATATTACAAAAAGAGTGTTTCAAAACTGCTCTATCAAAAGAAAGGTTCAACACTGTTAGTTGAGGGCGCACATCACAAATAAGTTTACTGAGAATGCTGCTGTCTGCTTTTTATATGTAATCCCGTTTCCAACGAAATCCTCAAAGCTAGACAAATATCCACTTGCAGATTCCACAAAAAGAGTGTTTCAAAACTGCTCTATCAAAAGAAAGCTTCAACACTGTTAGTTGAGGGCGCACATCACAAATAAGTTTCTGAGAATGCTTCTGTCTAGTTTTCAGGGGAAGATATTTCCTTTTTCACCATAGGCCTGAAAGCGCTCGAAATGTCCACATCCAGATACTACAAAAAGAGTGTTTCAAACCTGCTCTATGAAAGGGACTGTTCAACACTGTGACTTCAATTGAAACATCCCAATGAAGCTTCTGAGAATGCTTCTGTCTAGAGTTTATATGAAGACAATCCCGTTTCCAACGAAATCCTCAAAGCTATCAAAATATCCTCTTGCAGATTTTACGAAAAGAGTGTTTCAAAACTGCTCTATCAAAAGAAAGCTTCAACACTGTTAGTTGAGGACGCACATCACAAATAAGATTCTGAGAATGCTTCTGTCTAGTTTTCAGGAGAAGATATTTCCTTTTTCACCATAGGCCTGAAAGCGCTCCAAATGTCCACATCCAGATACTATAAAAAGAGTGTTTCAAACCTGCTCTATGAAAGGGAATGTTCAACTCTGTGACTTGAATGCAAACATCACAAAGAAGATTTTGGGAATGCTGCTGTCTGCTTTTTATATGTAATCCCGTTTCCAACGAAATCCTCAAAGCTAGACAAATATCCACTTGCAGATTCCACCAAAAGAGTGTTTCAAAACTGCTCTCTCAAAAGAAAGGTTCAACTCTGTTAGCTGAGTAGATACATCATGAAAATGTTTCTGACATTGCTTCTATCTAGCTTTTATTGGAAGATATTTCCTTTTTCACCGTAGTCCTGAGAGCGCTCCAAATGTCCACTTCCAGATACTACAAAAAGAGTGTTTCAAACCTGCTCCATGAAAGGGAATGTTCAACTCTGTGACTTGAATGCAAACATCACAAAGAAGTTTCTGGGAATGCTTCTGTCTAGAGTTTATATGAAGACAATCCCGTTTCCAACGAAATCCTCAAAGCTATCCTAATATCCTCTTACAAATTTTACAAAAAGAGTGTTTCAAAACTGCTCTATCAAAAAAAAGCTTCAACACTGTTAGTTGAGGGCGCACATCACAAATAAGATTCTGAGAATGCTTCTGTCTAGTTTTCAGGGGAAGATATTTCCTTTTTCACCATAGGCCTGAAAGCGCTCCAAATGTCCACATCCAGATACTACAAAAAGAGTGTTTCAAACCTGCTCTATGAAAGGGAATGTTCAACTCTGTGACTTGAATGCAAACATCACAAAGAAGTTTCTGGGAATGCTGCTGTCTGCTTTTTATATGTAATCCCGTTTCCAACGAAATCCTCAAAGCTAGACAAATATCCACTTTCAGATTACACAAAAAGAGTGTTTCAAAACTGCTCTCTCAAAAGAAAAGTTCAACTCTGTTAGCTGAGTAGATACATCATGAAAAAGTTTCTGACATTGCTTCTATGTAGCTTTTATTGGAAGATATTTCCTTTTTCACCATAGGCCTGAAAGCGCTCCAAATGTCCACATCCAGATACTACAAAAAAAGTGTTTCAAACCTGCTCTATGAAAGGGAATGTTCAACTCTGTGACTTGAATGCAAACATCACAAAGAAGTTACTGGGAATGCTGCTGTCTGCTTTTTATATGTAATCCCGTTTCCAACGAAATCCTCAAAGCTAGACAAATATCCACTTGCAGATTCCACAAAAAGAGTGTTTCAAAACTGCTCTCTCAAAAGAAACGTTCAACTCTGTTAGCTGAGTAGATACATCATGAAAAAGTTTCTGACATTGCTTCTATCTAGCTTTTATTGGAAGATATTTCCTTTATCACCTTATTCCTGAGATCTCTCCAAATGTCCACTTCCAGATACTACAAAAAGAGTGTTTCAAACCTGCTCTATGAAAGGGACTGTTCAACACTGTGACTTCAATTGAAACATCCCAATGAAGCTTCTGAGAATGCTTCTGTCTAGAGTTTATATGAAGACAATCCCGTTTCCAACGAAATCCTCAAAGCTATCCAAATATCCTCTTGCAGATATTACAAAAAGAGTGTTTCAAAACTGCTCTATCAAAAGAAAGGTTCAACACTGTTAGTTGAGGGCGCACATCACAAATAAGTTTACTGAGAATGCTGCTGTCTGCTTTTTATATGTAATCCCGTTTCCAACGAAATCCTCAAAGCTATCCAAATATCCTCTTGCAGATATTACAAAAAGAGTGTTTCAAAACTGCTCTATCAAAAGAAAGCTTCAACACTGTTAGTTGAGGGCGCACATCACAAATAAGTTTCTGAGAATGCTTCTGTCTAGTTTTCAGGGGAAGATACTTCCTTTTTCACCTTAGGCCTGAAAGCGCTCCAAATGTCCACATCCAGATACTACAAAAAGAGTGTTTCAAACCTGCTCTATGAAAGGGACTGTTCAACACTGTGACTTCAATTGAAACATCCCAATGAAGCTTCCGAGAGTGCTACTGTCTAGAGTTTATATGAAGACAATCCTGTTTCCAACGAAATCCTCAAAGCTATCCAAATATCCTCTTGCAGATTTTACAAAAAGAGTGTTTCAAAACTACTCTATCAAAAGAAAGGTTTAACACTGTTAGTTGAGGGCGCACATCACAAATAAGTTTCTGAGAATGCTACTGTCTAGTTTTCAGAGGAAGATATTTCCTTTTTCACCATAGGCCTGAAAGCGCTCCAAATGTCCACATCCAGATACTACAAAAAGAGTGTTTCAAACACGCTCTATGGAAGGGAATGTTCAAGTCTGTGACTTGAATGCAAATATCACAAAGAAGTTTCTGGGAATGCTGCTGTCTGCTTTTTATATGTAATCCCGTTTCCAACGCAATCCTCAAAGCTAGACAAATATCCACTTGCAGATTCCACAAAAAGAGTGTTTCAAAACTGCTCTCTCAAAAGAAAGGTTCAACCCTGTTAGCTGAGTAGACACATCATGAAAAATTTTCTGACATTGCTTCTATCTAGCTTTTATTGGAAGATATTTCCTTTTTCACTGTAGTCCTGAGAACGCTCCAATTGTCCACTTCCAGATACTACAAAAAGAGTGTTTCAAATCTGCTCTATGAAAGGGACTGTTCAACACTGTGACTTCAATTGAAACATCCCGATGAAGCTTCTGAGAATGATTCTGTCTAGTTTTCAGGAGAAGATATTTCCTTTTTCACCATAGGCCTGAAAGCGCTCCAAATGTCCACATCCAGATACTATAAAAAGAGTGTTTCAAACCTGCTCTCTGAAAGGGAATGTTCAACTCTGTGACTTGAATGCAAACATCACAAAGAAGATTCTGGGAATGCTGCTGTCTGCTTTTTATATGTAATCCCGTTTCCAACGAAATCCTCAAAGCTAGACAAATATCCACTTGCAGATTCCACCGAAAGAGTGTTTCAAAACTGCTCTATCAAAAGAAAGCTTCAACACTGTTAGTTGATGGCGCACATCACAAATAAGATTCTGAGAATGCTTCTGTCTAGTTTTTAGGGGAAGATATTTCCTTTTTCACCATAGGCCTGAAAGCGCTCCAAATGTCCACATCCAGATACTACAAAAAGAGTGTTTCAAACCTGCTCTATGAAAGGGAATGTTCAACTCTGTGACTTGAATGCAAACATCACAAAGAAGTTTCTGATAATGCTTCTGTCTAGATTGTATATGAAGACAATCCCGTTTCCAACGAAATCCTCAAAGCTATCCAAATATCCTCTTGCAGATTTTACAAAAAGAGTGTTTCAAAACTGCTCTATCAAAAGAAAGCTTCAACACTGTTAGTTGAGGGCGCACATCACAAATAAGTTTCTGAGAATGCTTCTGTCTAGTTTTCAGGGGAAGATATTTCCTTTTTCACCATAGGCCTGAAAGCGCTCCAAATGTCCACATCCAGATACTACAAAAAGAGTGTTTCAAACCTGCTCTATGAAAGGGAATGTTCAACTCTGTGACTTGAATGCAAACATCACAAAGAAGATTCTGGGAATGCTGCTGTCTGCTTTTTATATGTAATCCCATTTCCAACGAAATCCTCAAAGCTAGACAAATATCCACTTGCAGATTCCACAAAAAGAGTGTTTCAAAACTGCTCTCTCAAAAGAAAGGTTCAACTCTGTTAGCTGAGTAGATACATCATGAAAAAGTTTCTGACATTGCTTCTATGTAGCTTTTATTGGAAGATATTTCCTTTATCACCGGAGTCCTGAGAGCGCTCCAAATGTCCACTTCCAGATACTACAAAAAGAGTGTTTCAAACCTGCTCTATGAAAGGGACTGTTCAACACTGTGACTTCAATTGAAACATCCCAATGAAGCTTCTGAGAATGCTTCTGTCTAGATTCTATATGAAGACAATCCCGTTTCCAACGAAATCCTCAAAGCTATCCAAATATCCTCTTGCAGATTTTACAAAAAGAGTGTTTCAAAACTGCTCTATCAAAAGAAAAGTTCCACACTGTTAGTTGAGGGCGCACATCACAAATAAGTTTGCTGAGAATGCTGCTGTCTGCTTTTTTATAATTAATCCCGTTTCCAACGAAATCCTCAAAGCTATCCAAATATCCTCTTGCAGATATTACAAAAAGAGTGTTTCAAAACTGCTCTATCAAAAGAAAGCTTCAACACTGTTAGTTGAGGGCGCACATCACAAATAAGTTTCTGAGAATGCTTCTGTCTAGTTTTCAAGGGAAGATATTTCCTTTTAAACCATAGGCCTGAAAGCGCTCCAAATGTCCACATCCAGATACTACAAAAAGAGTGTTTCAAACCTGCTCTATGAAAGGGACTGTTCAACACTGTGACTTCAATTGAAACATCCCAATGACGCTTCTGAGAATGCTACTGTCTAGGTTTAATATGAAGACAATCCCGTTTCCAACGAAATCCTCAAAGCTATCCAAATATCCTCTTGCAGAGTTTACAAAAAGAATGTTTCAAAACTGCTCTATCAAAAGAAAGCTTCAACACTGTTAGTTGAGGGCGCACATCACAAATAAGTTTCTGAGACTACTTCTGTCTAGTTTTCAGTGGAAGATATTTCCTTTTTCACCATAGGCCTGAAAGCGCTCCAAATGTCCACATCCAGATACTAGAAAAAGAGTGTTTCAAACCTGCTCTATGAAAGGGAATGTTCAACTGTGGAAGTTGAATGCAAATATCACAAAGAAGTTTCTGGGAATGCTGCTGTCTGCTTTTTATATGTAATCCCGTTTCCAACGCAATCCTCAAAGCTAGACAAATATCCACTTGCAGATTCCACAAAAAGAGTGTTTCAAAACTGCTCTCTCAAAAGAAAGGTTCAACTCTGTTAGCTGAGTAGATACATCATGAACAATTTTCTGACATTGCTTCTATGTAGCTTTTATTGGAAGATATTTCCTTTTTCACCGTAGTCCTGAGAGCGCTCCAAATGTCCACTTCCAGATACTACAAAAAGAGTGTTTCAAACCTGTTCTATGAAAGGAACTGTTCAACACTGTGACTTCAATTGAAACATCCCAATGAAGCTTCTGAGAATGCTTCTGTCTAGAGTTTATATGAAGACAATCCCGTTTCCAACGAAATCCTCAAAGCTATCCAAATATCCTCCTGCAGATATTACAAAAAGAGTGTTTCAAAACTGCTCCATCAAAAGAAAGGTTCAACACTGTTAGTTGAGGGCGCACATCACAAATAACTTTCTGAGAATGCTGCTGTCTGCTTTTTATATGTAATCCCGTTTCCAACGAAATCCTCAAAGCTATCCAAATATCCTCTTGCAGATATTACAAAAAGAGTGTTTCAAAACTGCTCTATCAAAAGAAAGGTTCAACACTGTTAGTTGAGGGCGCACATCACAAATAAGTTTCTGAGAATGCTTCTGTCTAGTTTTCAGGGGAAGATATTTCCTTTTTCACCATAGGCCTGAAAGCGCTCGAAATGTCCACATCCAGATACTACAAAAAGAGTGTTTCAAACCTGCTCTATGAAAGGGACTGTTCAACACTGTGACTTCAATTGAAACATCCCAATGAAGCTTCTGAGAATGCTTCTGTCTAGAGTTTATATGAAGACAATCCCGTTTCCAACGAAATCCTCAAAGCTATCCAAATATCCTCTTGCAGATATTACAAAAAGAGTGTTTCAAAACTGCTCTATCAAAAGAAAGGTTCAACACTGTTAGTTGAGGGCGCACATCACAAATAAGTTTCTGAGAATGCTTCTGTCTAGTTTTCAGGAGAAGATATTTCCTTTTTCACCATAGGCCTGAAAGCGATCCAAATGTCCACATCCAGATACTATAAAAAGAGTGTATCAAACCTGCTCTATGAAAGGGAATGTTCAACTCTGTGACTTGAATGCAAACATCACAAAGAAGATTCTGGGAATGCTGCTGTCTGCTTTTTATATGTAATCCCGTTTCCAACGAAATCCTCAAAGCTATAAAAATATCCACTTGCAGATTCCACAAAAAGAGTGTTTCAAAACTGCTCTCTCAAAAGAAAGGTTCAACTCTGTTAGCTGAGTAGATACATCATGAAAAAGTTTCTGACATTGCTTCTATCTAGCTTTTATTGGAAGATATTTCCTTTTTCACCATAGTCCTGAGAACGCTCCAAATGTCCACTTCCAGATATTACAAAAAGAGTGTTTCAAACCTGCTCTACGAAAGGGACTGTTCAACACTGTGACTTCAATTGAAACATCCCAATGAAGCTTCTGAGAATGCTTCTGTCTAGTTTTCAGGGGAAGATATTTCCTTTTTCACCACAGGCCTGAAAGCGCTCCAAATGTCCACATCCAGATACTACAAAAAGAGTGTTTCAAACCTGCTCTATGAAAGGGAATGTTCAACTCTGTGACTTGAATGCAAACATCACAAAGAAGTTTCTGGGAATGCTGCTGTCTGCTTTTTATATGTAATCACGTTTCCAACGAAATCCTCAAAGCTAGACAAATATCCACTTGCAGATTCCACAAAAAGAGTTTTTCAAAACTGCTCTATGAAAAGAAAGCTTCAACACTGTTAGTTGAGGGCGCACATCACAAATAAGTTTCTGAGAATGCTTCTGTCTAGTTTTCAGGGGAAGATATTTCCTTTTAAACCATAGGCCTGAAAGCGCTCCAAATGTCCACTTCCAGATACTACAAAAAGAGTGTTTCAAACCTGCTCTATGAAAGGGACTGTTCAACACTGTGACTTCAATTGAAACATCCCAATGAAGCTTCTGAGAATGCTTCTGTCTAGAGTTTATATGAAGACAATCCCGTTTCCAACGAAATCCTCAAAGCTATCCAAATATCCTCTTGCAGATATTACAAAAAGAGTGTTTCAAAACTGCTCTATCAAAAGAAAGCTTCAACACTGTTAGTTGAGGGCGCACATCACAAATAAGTTTCTGAGAATGCTTCTGTCTAGTTTTCAGGGGAAGATATTTCATTTTTCACCATACGCCTGAAAGCGCTCCAAATGTCCACATCCAGATACTACAAGAAGAGTGTTTCAAACCTGCTCTATGAAAGGGAATGTTCAACTCTGTGACTTGAATGCAAACATCACAAAGAAGTTTCTGGGAATGCTGCTGTCTGCTTTTTATATGTAATCCCGTTTCCAACGAAATCCTCAAAGCTAGAAAAATATCCGCTTGCAGATTCCACAAAAAGAGTGTTTCAAAACTGCTCTCTCAAAAGAAAGGTTCAACTCTGTTAGCTGAGTAGATACATCATGAAAAAGTTTCTGACATTGCTTCTATCTAGCTTTTATTGGAAGATATTTCCTTTTTCACCGCAGTCCTGAGAGCGTTCCAAATGTCCACTTCCAGATACTACAAAAAGAGTGTTTCAAACCTGCTCTATGAAAGGGACTGTTCAACACTGTTGACTTCAATTGAAACATCCCAATGAAGCTTCTGAGAATGCTGCTGTCTGCTTTGTATAATTAATCCCGTTTCCAACGAAATCCTCAAAGCTATCCAAATATCCTCTTGCAGATATTACAAAAAGAGTGTTTCAAAACTGCTCTATCAAAAGAAAGCTTCAACACTGTTAGTTGAGGGCGCACATCACAAATAAGTTTCTGAGAATGCTGCTGTCTGCTTTTTATATGTAATCCCGTTTCCAACGAAATCCTCAAAGCTATCCAAATATCCTCTTGCAGATATTACAAAAAGAGTGTTTCAAAACTGCTCTATCAAAAGAAAGGTTCAACACTGTTAGTTGAGGGCGCACATCACAAATAAGTTTCTGAGAATGCTTCTGTCTAGTTTTCAGGGGAAGATATTTCCTTTTAAACCATAGGCCTGAAAGCGCTCCAAATGTCCACATCCAGATACTACAAAAAGAGTGTTTCAAACCTGCTCTATGAAAGGGACTGTTCAACACTGTGACTTCAATTGAAACATCCCAATGACGCTTCTGAGAATGCTTCTGTCTAGAGTTTATATGAAGACAATCCCGTTTCCAACGAAATCCTCAAAGCTATCCAAATATCCTCTTGCAGATTTTACAAAAAGAGTGTTTCAAAACTGCTCTATCAAAAGAAAGCTTCAACACTGTTAGTTGAGGGCGCACATCACAAATAAGATTCTGAGAATGCTTCTGTCTAGTTTTCAGGAGAAGATATTTCCTTTTTCACCATAGGCCTGAAAGCGCTCCAAATGTCCACATCCAGATACTATAAAAAGAGTGTTTCAAACCTGCTCTCTGAAAGGGAATGTTCAACTCTGACTTGAATGCAAACATCACAAACAAGATTCTGGGAATGCTGCTGTCTGCTTTTTATATGTAATCCCGTTTCCAACGAAATCCTCAAAGCTAGACAAATATCCACTTGCAGATTCCACAAAAAGAGTGTTTCAAAACTGCTCTCTCAAAAGAAAGGTTCAACTCTGTTAGCTGAGTAGATACATCATGAAAAAGTTTCTGACATTGCTTCTATCTAGCTTTTATTGGAAGATATTTCCTTTTCCACCGTAGTCCTGAGATCTCACCAAATGTCCACTTCCAGATACTACAAAAAGAGTGTTTCAAACCTGCTCAATGAAAGGGGCTGTTCAACACTGTGACTTCAATTGAAACATCCCAATGAAGCTTCTGAGAATGCTTCTGTCTAGAGTTTATATGAAGACAATCCCGTTTCCAACGAAATCCTCAAAGCTATCCAAATATCCTCTTGCAGATATTACAAAAAGAGTGTTTCAAAACTGCTCTATCAAAAGAAAGGTTCAACACTGTTAGTTGAGGGCGCACATCACAAATAAGTTTACTGAGAATGCTGCTGTCTGCTTTTTATATGTAATCCCGTTTCCAACGAAATCCTCAAAGCTAGACAAATATTCACTTGCAGATTCCACAAAAAGAGTGTTTCAAAACTGCTCTATCAAAAGAAAGCTTCAACACTGTTAGTTGAGGGGGCACATCACAAATAAGTTTCTGAGAATGCTTCTGTCTAGTTTTCAGGGGAAGATATTTCCTTTTAAACCATAGGCCTGAAAGCGCTCCAAATGTCCACATCCAGATACTACAAAAAGAGTGTTTCAAACCTGCTCTATGAAAGGGACTGTTCAACACTGTGACTTCAATTGAAACATCCCAATGAAGCTTCTGAGAATGCTTCTGACTAGAGTTTATATGAAGACAATCCCGTTTCCAACGAAATCCTCAAAGCTATCCAAATATCCTCTTGCAGATTTTACAAAAAGAGTGTTTCAAAACTGCTCTATCAAAAGAAAGCTTCAACACTGTTAGTTGAGGGCGCACATCACAAATAAGATTCTGAGAATGCTTCTGTCTAGTTTTCAGGGGAAGATATTTCCTTTTTCACCATAGGCCTGAAAGCGCTCCAAATGTCCACATCCAGATACTACAAAAAGAGTGTTTCAAACCTGCTCTATGAAAGGGAATGTTCAACTGTGTGACTTGAATGCAAACATCACAAAGAAGTTTCTGGGAATGCTGCTGTCTGCTTTTTATATGTAATCCCGTTTCCAACGCAATCCTCAAAGCTAGACAAATATCCACTTGCAGATTCCACAAAAAGAGTGTTTCAAAACTGCTCTCTCAAAGGAAGGTTCAACTCTGTTAGCTGAGTAGATACATCATGAAAAAGTTTCTGACATTGCTTCTATCTAGCTTTTATTGGAAGATATTTCCTTTATCACCGGAGTCCTGAGAGCGCTCCAGATGTCCACTTCCAGATACTACAAAAAGAGTGTTTCAAACCTGCTCTATGAAAGGGACTGTTCAACACTGTGACTTCAATTGAAACATCCCAATGAAGCTTCTGAGAATGCTTCTGTCTAGAGTTTATATGAAGACAATCCCGTTTCCAACGAAATCCTCAAAGCTATCCAAATATCTTCTTGCAGATTTTACAAAAAGAGTGTTTCAAAACTGCTCTATCAAAAGAAAGCTTCAACACTGTTAGTTGAGGGCGCACATCACAAATAAGATTCTGAGAATGCTTCTGTCTAGTTTTCAGGGGAAGATATTTCCTTTTTCACCATAGGCTTGAAAGCACTCCAAATGTCCACATCCAGATACTACAAAAAGAGTGTTTCAAACCTGCTCTATGAAAGGGAATGTTCAACTCTGTGACTTGAATGCAAACATCACAAAGAAGTTTCTGGGAATGCTGCTGTCTGCTTTTTATATGTAATCCCGTTTCCAACGATATCCTCAAAGCTAGACAAATATCCACTTGCAGATTCCACCAAAAGAGTGTTTCAAAACTGCTCTCTCAAAAGAAAGGTTCAACTCTGTTAGCTGAGTAGATTCATCATGAAAAATTTTCTGACATTGCTTCTATCTAGCTTTTATTGGAAGATAGTTCCTTTTTCACCGCAGTCCTGAGAGCGCTCCAAATGTCCACTTCCAGATACTACAAAAAGAGTGTTTCAAACCTGCTCTATGAAAGGGACTGTTCAACACTGTGACTTCAATTGAAACATCCCAATGAAGCTTCTGAGAATGCTGCTGTCTGCTTTGTATAATTAATCCCGTTTCCAACGAAATCCTCAAAGCTATCCAAATATCCTCTTGCAGATATTACAAAAAGAGTGTTTCAAAACTGCTCTATCAAAAGAAAGCTTCAACACTGTTAGTTGAGGGCGCACATCACAAATAAGTTTCTGAGAATGCTGCTGTCTGCTTTTTATATGTAATCCCGTTTCCAACGAAATCCTCAAAGCTAGACAAATATCCACATGCAGATTCCACAAAAAGAGTGTTTCAAAACTGCTCTATCAAAAGAAAGCTTCAACACTGTTAGTTGAGGGCGCACATCACAAATAAGTTTCTGAGAATGCTTCTGTCTAGTTTTCAGGGGAAGATATTTCCTTTTTCACCATAGGCCTGAAAGCGCTCCAAATGTCCACATCCAGATACTACAAAAAGAGTGTTTCAAACCTGCTCTATGAAAGGGACTGTTCAACACTGTGACTTCAATTGAAACATCCCAATGAAGCTTCTGAGAATGCTATTGTCTAGAGTTTATATGAAGACAATCCCGTTTCCAACGAAATACTCAAAGCTATCCAAATATCCTCTTGCAGATTTTACAAAAAGAGTGTTTCAAAACTACTCTATCAAAAGAAAGGTTCAACACTGTTAGTTGACGGCGCACATCACAAATAAGTTTCTGAGAATGCTTCTGTCTAGTTTACAGGAGAAGATATTTCCTTTTTCACCATAGGCCTGAAAGCGCTCCAAATGTCCAAATCCAGACACTATAAAAAGAGTGTTTCAAACCTGCTCTCTGAAAGGGAATGTTCAACTCTGTGACTTGAATGCAAACATCACAAACAAGATTCTGGGAATGCTGCTGTCTGCTTTTTATATGTAATCCCGTTTCCAACGAAATCCTCAAAGCTAGACAAATATCCACTTGCAGATTCCACAAAAAGAGTGTTTCAAAACTGCTCTCTCAAAAGAAAGGTTCAACTCTGTTAGCTGAGTAGATACATCATGAAAAAGTTTCTGACATTGCTTCTATCTAGCTTTTATTGGAAGATATTTCCTTTATCACCGTATTCCTGAGAACTCTCCAAATGTCCACTTCCAGATACTACAAAAAGAGTGTTTCAAACCTGTTCTATGAAAGGAACTGTTCAACACTGTGACTTCAATTGAAACATCCCAATGAAGCTTCTGAGAATGCTTCTGTCTAGAGTTTATATGAAGACAATCCCGTTTCCAACGAAATCCTCAAAGCTATCCAAATATCCTCTTGCAGATTTTACAAAAAGAGTGTTTCAAAACTGCTCTATCAAAAGAAAGCTTCAGCACTGTTAGTTGAGGGCGCACATCACAAATAAGATTCTGAGAATGCTGCTGTCTGCTTTTTATATGTAATCCCGTTTCCAACGAAATCCTCAAAGCTAGACAAACATCCACTTGCAGATTCCACAAAAAGAGTGTTTCAAAACTGCTCTATCAAAAGAATGCTTCAACACTGTTAGTTGAGGGCGCACATCACAAATAAGTTTCTGAGAATGCTTCTGTCTAGTTTTCAGAGGAAGATATTTCCTTTTTCACCATAGGCCTGAAAGCGCTCCAAATGTCCACTTCCAGATACTACAAAAAGAGTGTTTCAAACCTGCTCTATGAAAGGGACTGTTCAACACTGTGACTTCAATTGAAACATCCCAATGAAGCTTCTGAGAATGCTTCTGTCTAGAGTTTATATGAAGACAATCCCGTTTCCAACGAAATCCTCGATGCTATCCAAATATCCTCTTGCAGATATTACAAAAAGAGTGTTTCAAAACTGCTCTATCAGAAGAAAGCTTCAACACTGTTAGTTGAGGGCGCACATCACAAATAAGATTCTGAGAATGCTTCTGTCTAGTTTTCAGGGGAAGATATTTCCTTTTTCACCATAGGCCTGAAAGCGCTCCAAATGTCCACATCCAGATACTACAAAAAGAGTGTTTCAAACCTGCTCTATGAAAGGGAATGTTCAACTCTGTGACTTGAATGCAAACATCACAAAGAAGTTTCTGGGAATGCTGCTGGCTGCTTTTTATATGTAATCCCGTTTCCAACGAAATCCTCAAAGCTAGACAAATATCCACTTGCAGATTCCACAAAAAGAGTGTTTCAAAACTGCTCTCTCAAAGGAAGGTTCAACTCTGTTAGCTGAGTAGATATATCATGAAAAAGTTTCTGACATTGCTTCTATCTAGCTTTTATTGGAAGATATTTCCTTTATCACCGTATTCCTGAGATCTCTCCAAATGTCCACTTCCAGATACTACAAAAAGAGTGTTTCAAACCTGCTCTATGAAAGGGACTGTTCAACACTGTGACTTCAATTGAAACATCCCAATGAAGCTTCTGAGATTGCTTCTTTCTAGAGTTTATATGAAGACAATCCCGTTTCCAACGAAATCCTCAAAGCTATCCAAATATTCTCTTGCAGATATTACAAAAAGAGTGTTTCAAAACTGCTCTATCAAAATAAAGCTTCAACACTGTTAGTTGAGGGCGCACATCACAAATAAGTTTCTGAGAATGCTGCTGTCTGCTTTTTATATGTAATCCCGTTTCCAACGAAATCCTCAAAGCTAGACAAACATCCACTTGCAGATTCCACAAAAAGAGTGTTTCAAAACTGCTCTATCAAAAGAAAGCTTCAACACTGTTAGTTGAGGGCGCACATCACAAATAAGTTTCTGAGAATGCTTCTGTCTAGTTTTCAGGGGAAGATATTTCCTTTTTCACCATAGGCCTGAAAGCGCTCCAAATGTCCACATCCAGATACTACAAAAAGAGTGTTTCAAACCTGCTCTATGAAAGGGACTGTTCAACACTGTGACTTCAATTGAAACATCCCAATGAAGCTTCTGAGAATGCTTCTGTCTAGATTTTATATGAAGACAATCCCGTTTCCAACGAAATCCTCAAAGCTATCCAAATATCCTCTTGCAGATTTTACAAAAAGAGTGTTTCAAAACTACTCTATCAAAAGAAAGGTTTAACACTGTTAGTTGAGGGCGCACATCACAAATAAGTTTCTGAGAATGCTTCTGTCTAGTTTTCAGGAGAAGATATTTCCTTTTTCACCATAGGCCTGAAAGCGCTCCAAATGTCCACATCCAGATACTATAAAAAGAGTGTTTCAAACCTGCTATCTGAAAGGGAATGTTCAACTCTGTGACTTGAATGCAAACATCACAAACAAGATTCTGGGAATGCTGCTGTCTGCTTTTTATATGTAATCCCGTTTCCAACGAAATCCTCAAAGCTAGAGAAATATCCACTTCCAGATTCCACAAAAAGAGTGTTTCAAAACTCCTCGATCAAAAGAAAGATTCAACACTGTTAGTTGAGGGCGCACATCACAAATAAGTTTCTGAGAATGCTTCTGTGTAGTTTTTGAGGCAAGATATTTCCTATTTCACCTTACGCCTCAAAGCGATCAAAACGTCCACTTCCAGATACTACAAAAAGAGTGCTTCAAACCTGCTCTATTAAAGGGAGTGATCAACTCTGTGACTCGAACGCTAACATCCCAAGGAGGTTTCTGAGAATGCTTCTGTCTAGAGTTTATATGAAGACAATTCCGTTTCCAACGAAATCCTCAAAGCTATCCAAATATCCTCTTGCAGATTTTACAAAAAGAGTGTTTCAAAACTGCTCTATCAAAAGAAAGCTTCAACACTGTTAGTTGAGGGCGCACATCACAAATAAGATTCTGAGAATGCTTTCTGTCTAGTTTTCAGGGGAAGATATTTCCTTTTTCACCATAGGCCTGAAAGCGCTCCAAATGTCCACATCCAGATACTACAAAAAGAGTGTTTCAAACCTGCTCTCTGAAAGGGAATGTTCAACTCTGTGACTTGAATGCAAACATCACAAAGAAGTTTCTGGGAATGCTGCTGTCTGCTTTTTATATGTAATCCCGTTTCCAACGAAATCCTCAATGCTAGACAAATATCCACTTGCAGATTCCACAAAAAGAGTGTTTCAAAACTGCTCTCTCAAAAGAAAGGTTCAACTCTGTTAGCTGAGTAGATACATCATGAAAAAGTTTCTGACATTGCTTCTATCTAGCTTTTATTGGAAGATATTTCCTTTATCACCGTATTCCTGAGATCTCTCCAAATGTCCACTTCCAGATACTACAAAAAAGTGTTTCAAACCTGCTCTATGAAAGGGACTGTTCAACACTGTGACTTCAATTGAAACATCCCAATGAAGCTTCTGAGAATGCTTCTTTCTAGAGTTTATATGAAGACAATCCCGTTTCCAACGAAATCCTCAAAGCTATCCAAATATTCTCTTGCAGATATTACAAAAAGAGTGTTTCAAAACTGCTCTATCAAAATAAAGCTTCAACACTGTTAGTTGAGGGCGCACATCACAAATAAGTTTCTGAGAATGCTGCTGTCTGCTTTTTATATGTAATCCCGTTTCCAACGAAATCCTCAAAGCTAGACAAATATCCACTTGCAGATTCCACAAAAAGAGTGTTTCAAAACTGCTCTATCAAAAGAAAGCTTCAACACTGTTAGTTGAGGGCGCACATCACAAATAAGTTTCTGAGAATGCTTTTGTCTAGTTTTCAGGGGAAGATATTTCCTTTTTCACCTTAGGCCTGAAAGCGCTGCAAATGTCCACATCCAGATACTACAAAAAGAGTGTTTCAAACCTGCTCTATGAAAGGGAATGTTCAACTCTGTGACTTGAATGCAAACATCACAAAGAAGTTTCTGGGAATGCTGCTGTCTGCTTTTTATATGTAATCCCGTTTCCAACGAAATCCTCAAAGCTAGGCAAATATCCCCTTGCAGATTCCACAAAAAGAGTGTTTCAAAACTGCTCTCTCAAAGGAAGGTTCAACTCTGTTAGCTGAGTAGATACATCATGAAAAAGTTTCTGACATTGCTTCTATCTAGCTTTTATTGGAAGATAGTTCCTTTTTCACCGCAGTCCTGAGAGCGCTCCAAATGTCCACTTCCAGATACTACAAAAAGAGTGTTTCAAACCTGCTCTATGAAAGGGACTGTTCAACACTGTGACTTCAATTGAAACATCCCAATGAAGCTTCTGAGAATGCTTCTGTCTAGATTCTATATGAAGACAATCCCGTTTCCAACGAAATCCTCAAAGCTATCCAAATATCCTCTTGCAGATTTTACAAAAAGAGTGTTTCAAAACTGCTCTATCAAAAGAAAAGTTCCACACTGTTAGTTGAGGGCGCACATCACAAATAAGTTTGCTGAGAATGCTGCTCTCTGCTTTATATATGTAATCCCGTTTCCAACGAAATCCTCAAAGCTAGACAAACATCCACTTGCAGATTCCACAAAAAGAGTGTTTCAAAACTGCTCTATCAAAAGAAAGCTTCAACACTGTTAGTTGAGGGCGCACATCACAAATAAGTTTCTGAGAATGCTTCTGTCTAGTTTTCAGGGGAAGATATTTCCTTTTTCACCATAGACCTGAAAGCGCTCCAAATGTCCACATCCAGATACTACAAAAAGAGTGTTTCAAACCTGCTCTATGAAAGGGACTGTTCAACACTGTGACTTCAATTGAAACATCCCAATGAAGCATCTGAGAATGCTTCTGTCTAGAGTTTATATGAAGACAATCCCGTTTCCAATGAAATCCTCAAAGCTATCCAAATATCCTCTTGCAGATTTTACAAAAAGACTGTTTCAAAACTGCTCTATCAAAAGAAAGCTTCAACACTGTTAGCTGAGGGCGCACATCAGAAATAAGATTCTGAGAATGCTTTTGTCTAGTTTTCAGGAGAAGATATTTCCTTTTTCACCATAGGCCTGAGAACGCTCCAAAAGTCCACATCCAGATGCTACAAAAAGAGTGTTTCAAACCTGCTCTATGAAAGGGAATGTTCAACTCTGTGACTTGAATGCAAACATCACAAAGAAGTTTCTGGGAATGCTGCTGTCTGCTTTTTATATGTAATCCCGTTTCCAACGAAATCCTCAAAGCTAGACAAATATCCACTTGCAGATTCCACAAAAAGAGTGTTTCAAAACTGCTCTCTCAAAAGAAAGGTTCAACTCTGTTAGCTGAGTAGATACATCATGAAAATGTTTCCTGACATTGCTTCTATCTAGCTTTTATTGGAAGATATTTCCTTTTGCACCGTAGTCCTGAGAACGCTCCAAATGTCCACTTCCAGATGCTACAAAAAGAGTGTTTCAAACCTGCTCTATGAAAGGGACTGTTCAACACTGTGGCTTCAATTGAAACATCCCAATGAAGCTTCTGAGAATGCTTCTGTCTAGAGTTTATATGAAGACAATCCCGTTTCCAACGAAATCCTCAAAGCTATCCAAATATCCTCTTGCAGATATTACAAAAAGAGTGTTTCAAAACTGCTCTATCAAAAGAAAGGTTCAACACTGTTAGTTGAGGGCGCACATCACAAATAAGTTTACTGAGAATGCTGCTGTCTGCTTTTTATATGTAATCCCGTTTCCAACGAAATCCTCAAAGCTAGACAAATATCCACTTGCAGATTCCACAAAAAGAGTGTTTCAAAACTGCTCTATCAAAAGAATGCTTCAACACTGTTAGTTGAGGGCGCACATCACAAATAAGTTTCTGAGAATGCTTCTGTCTAGTTTTCAGGGGAAGATATTTCCTTTTAAACCATAGGCCTGAAAGCGCTCCAAATGTCCACATCCAGATACTACAAAAAGAGTGTTTCAAACCTGCTCTATGAAAGGGAATGTTCAACACTGTGACTTCAATTGAAACATCCCAATGAAGCTTCTGAGAATGCTTCTGTCTAGAGTTTATATGAAGACAATCCCGTTTCCAACGAAATCCTCAAAGCTATCCAAATATCCTCTTGCAGATTTTACAAAAAGAGTGTTTCAAAACTGCTCTATCAAAAGAAAGCTTCAACACTGTTAGTTGATGGCGCACATCACAAATAAGATTCTGAGAATTCTTCTGTCTAGTTTTCAGGGGAAGATATTTCCTTTTTCACCATAGGCCTGAAAGCGCTCCAAATGTCCACATCCAGATACTACAAAAAGAGTGTTTCAAACCTGCTCTATGAAAGGGAATGTTCAACTCTGTGACTTGAATGCCAACATCACAAAGAAGTTCCTGGGAATGCTGCTGTCTGCTTTTTATATGTAATCCCGTTTCCAACGAAATCCTCAAACCTAGACAAATATCCACTTGCAGATTCCACAAAAAGAGTGTTTCAAAACTGCTCTCTCAAAAGAAAGGTTAAATTCTGTTAGCTGAGTAGATACATCATGAAAAATTTTCTGACATTGCTTCTATCTAGCTTTTATTGGAAGATATTTCCTTTTTCACCGTAGTCCTGAGAGCGCTCCAAATGTCCACTTCCAGATACTACAAAAAGAGTGTTTCAAACCTGCTCTATGAAAGGGACTGTTCAACACTGTGACTTCAATTGAAACATCCCAATGAAGCTTCTGAGAATGCTTCTGTCTAGAGTTTATATGAAGACAATCCCGTTTCCAACGAAATCCTCAAAGCTATCCAAATATCCTCTTGCAGATATTACAAAAAGAGTGTTTCAAAACTGCTCTATCAAAAGAAAGGTTCAACACTGTTAGTTGAGGGCGCACATCACAAATAAGTTTACTGAGAATGCTGCTGTCTGCTTTTTATAATTAATCCCGTTTCCAACGAAATCCTCAAAGCTATCCAAATATCCTCTTGCAGATATTACAAAAAGAGTGTTTCAAAACTGCTCTATCAAAAGAAAGGTTCAACACTGTTAGTTGAGGGCGCACATCACAAATAAGTTTCTGAGAATGCTTCTGTCTAGTTTTCAGGGGAAGATATTTCCTTTTTCACCATAGGCCTGAAAGCGCTCCAAATGTCCACATCCAGATACTACAAATGAGTGTTTCAAACCTGCTCTATGAAAGGGACTGTTCAACACTGTGACTTCAATTGAAACATCCCAATGAAGCTTCTGAGAATGCTTCTGTCTAGAGTTTATATGAAGACAATCCCGTTTCCAACGAAATCCTCAAAGCTATCCAAATATCCTCTTGCAGATTTTACAAAAAGAGTGTTTCAAAACTGCTCTATCAAAAGAAAGCTTCAACACTGTTAGTTGAGGGCGCACATCACAAATAAGATTCTGAGAATGCTTCTGTCTAGTTTTCAGGGGAAGATATTTCCTTTTTCACCATAGGCCTGAAAGCGCTCCAAATGTCCACATCCAGATACTACAAAAAGAGTGTTTCAAACCTGCTCTATGAAAGGGAATGTTCAACTCTGTGACTTGAATGCAAACATCACAAAGAAGATTACTGGGAATGCTGCTGTCTGCTTTTTATATGTAATCCCGTTTCCAACGAAATCCTCAAAGCTAGACAAATATCCACTTGCAGATTCCACAAAAAGAGTGTTTCAAAACTGCTCTCTCAAAGGAAGGTTCAACTCTTTTAGCTGAGTAGATACATCATGAAAAAGTTTACTGACATTGCTTCTATCTAGCTTTATTTGGAAGATATTTCCTTTTTCACCGTAGTCCTGAAAACGCTCCAAATGTCAACTTCCAGATACTACAAAAAGAGTGTTTCAAACATGATCTATGAAAGGGACTGTTCAACACTGTGACTTCAATTGAAACATCCCAATGAAGCTTCTGAGAATGCTTCTTTCTAGAGTTTATATGAAGACAATCCCGTTTCCAACGAAATCCTCAAAGCTATCCAAATATTCTCTTGCAGATATTACAAAAAGAGTGTTTCAAAACTGCTCTATCAAAATAAAGCTTCAACACTGTTAGTTGAGGGCGCACATCACAAATAAGTTTCTGAGAATGCTGCTGTCTGCTTTTTATATGTAATCCCGTTTCCAACGAAATCCTCAAAGCTATCCAAATATCCTCTTGCAGATATTACAAAAAGAGTGTTTCAAAACTGCTCTATCAAAAGAAAGGTTCAACACTGTTAGTTGAGGGCGCACATCACAAATAAGTTTCTGAGAATGCTTCTGTCTAGTTTTCAGGGGAAGATATTTCCTTTTTCACCATATGCCTGAAAGCGCTCCAAATGTCCACATCCAGATACTACAAAAAGAGTGTTTCAAACCTGCTCTATGAAAGGGACTGTTCAACACTGTGACTTCAATTGAAACATCCCAATGAAGCTTCTGAGAATGCTTCTGTCTAGAGTTTATATGAAGACAATCCCGTTTCCAACGAAATCCTCAAAGCTATCCAAATATCCTCTTGCAGATTTTACAAAAAGAGTGTTTCAAAACTGCTCTATCAAAAGAAAGCTTCAACTCTGTTAGTTGAGGGCGCACATCACAAATAAGATTCTGAGAATGCTTCTGTCTAGTTTTCAGGGGAAGATATTTCCTTTTTCACCATAGGCCTGAAAGCGCTCCAAATGTCCACATACAGATACTACAAAAAGAGTGTTTCAAACCTGCTCTATGAAAGGGAATGTTCAACTCTGTGACTTGAATGCAAACTTCACAAAGAAGTTTCTGGGAATGCTGCTGTCTGCTTTTTATATGTAATCCCGTTTCCAACGAAATCTTCAAAGCCAGACAAATATCCACTTGCAGATTCCACAAAAAGAGTGTTTGAAAACTGCTCTCTCAAAAGAAAGGTTCAACTCTTTTAGCTGAGTAGATACATCATGAAAAAGTTTATGATATTGCTTCTAACTAGCTTTTATTGGAAGATATTTCCTTTTTCACCGTAGTCCTGAGAGTGCTCCAAATGTCCACTTCCAGATGCTACAAAAAGAGTGTTTCAAACCTGCTCTATGAAAGTGACTGTTCAACACTGTGACTTCAATTGAAACATCCCTATGAAGCTTATCAGAATGCTTCTTTCTAGAGTTTATATGAAGACAATCCCGTTTCCAACGAAATCCTCAAAGCTATCCAAATATTCTCTTGCAGATATTACAAAAAGAGTGTTTCAAAACTGCTCTATCAAAATAAAGCTTCAACACTGTTAGTTGAGGGCGCACATCACAAATAAGTTTCTGAGAATGCTGCTGTCTGCTTTTTATAATTAATCCCGTTTCCAACGAAATCCTCAAAGCTATCCAAATATCCTCTTGCAGATATTACAAAAAGAGTGTTTCAAAACTGCTCTATCAAAAGAAAGCTTCAACACTGTTAGTTGAGGGCGCACATCACAAATAAGTGTCTGAGAATGCTTCTGTCTAGTTTTCAGGGGAAGATATTTCCTTTTTCACCATAGGCCTGAAAGCGCTCCAAATGTCCACATCCAGATACTACAAAAAGAGTGTTTCAAACCTGCTCTATGAAAGGGAATGTTCAACTCTGTGAGTTGAATGCAAACATCACAAAGAAGTTTCTGGGAATGCTGCTGTCTGCTTTTTATATGTAATCCCGTTTCCAACGAAATCCTCAAAGCTAGACAAATATCCACTTGCAGATTCCACAAAAAGAGTGTTTCAAAACTGCTCTCTCAAAGGAAAGGTTCAACTCTGTTAGCTGAGTAGATACATCATGAAAAAGTTTCTGACATTGCTTCTATGTAGCTTTTATTGGAAGATATTCCCTTTTTCACCGTAGTCCTGAGAGCGCTCCAAATGTCCACTTCCAGATACTACAAAAAGAGTGTTTCAAACCTGCTCTATGAAAGGAACTGTTCAACAGTGTGACTTCAATTGAAACATCCCAATGAAGCTTCTGAGAATGCTTCTGTCTAGAGTTTATATGAAGACAATCCCGTTTCCAACGAAATCCTCAAAGCTATCCAAATATCCTCTTGCAGATATTACAAAAAGAGTGTTTCAAAACTGCTCTATCAAAAGAAAGGTTCAACACTGTTAGTTGAGGGCGCACATCACAAATAAGTTTACTGAGAATGCTGCTGTCTGCTTTTTATATGTAATCCCGTTTCCAACGAAATCCTCAAAGCTAGACAAATATCCACTTGCAGATTCCACAAAAAGAGTGTTTCAAAACTGCTCTATCAAAAGAATGCTTCAACACTCTTACTTGAGGGCGCACATCACAAATAAGTTTCTGAGAATGCTTCTGTCTAGTTTTCAGGGGAAGATATTTCCTTTTAAACCATAGGCCTGAAAGCGCTCCCAATGTCCACATCCAGATACTACAAAAAGAGTGTTTCAAACCTGCTCTATGAAAGGGACTGTTCAACACTGTGACTTCAATTGAAACATCCCAATGACGCTTCTGAGAATGCTACTGTCTAGAGTTTATATGAAGACAATCCCGTTTCCAACGAAATCCTCAAAGCTATCCAAATATCCTCTTGCAGATTTTACAAAAAGAGTGTTTCAAAACTGCTCTATCAAAACAAAGCTTCAACACTGTTAGTTGAGGGCGCACATCACAAATAAGATTCTGAGAATGCTTCTGTCTAGTTTTCAGGAGAAGATATTTCCTTTTTCACCATAGGCCTGAAAGCGCTCCAAATGTCCACATCCAGATACTATAAAAAGAGTGTTTCAAACCTGCTCTCTGAAAGGGAATGTTCAACTCTGTGACTTGAATGCAAACATCACCAACAAGATTCTGGGAATGCTGCTGTCTGCTTTTTATATGTAATCCCGTTTCCAACGAAATCCTCAAAGCTAGACAAATATCCACTTGCAGATTCCACAAAAAGAGTGTTTCAAAACTGCTCTCTCAAAGGAAAGGTTCAACTCTGTTAGCTGAGTAGATACATCATGAAAAAGTTTCTGACATTGCTTCTATGTAGCTTTTATTGGAAGATATTTCCTTTTTCACCATAGTCCTGAGTAGCGCTCCAAATGTCCACTTCCAGATACTACAAAAAGAGTGTTTCAAACCTGCTCTATGAAAGGGACTGTTCAACACTGTGACTTCAGTTGAAACATCCCAATGAAGCTTCTGAGAATGCTTCTGTCTAGAGTTTTTATGAAGACAATCCCGTTTCCAACGAAATCCTCAAAGCTATCCAAATATCCTCTTGCAGATTTTACAAAAAGAGTGTTTCAAAACTGCTCTATCAAAACAAAGCTTCAACACTGTTAGTTGAGGGCGCACATCACAGATAAGTTTCTGAGAATGCTTCTGTCTAGTTTTCAGGGGAAGATATTTCCTTTTTCACCATAGGCGTGAAAGCGCTCCAAATGTCCACATCCAGACACTACAAAAAGAGTGTTTCAAACCTGCTCTATGAAAGGGAATGTTCAACTCTGTGACTTGAATGCAAACATCACAAAGAAGTTTCTGGGAATGCTGCTGACTGCTTTTTATATGTAATCCCGTTTCCAACGAAATCCTCAAAGCTAGACAAATATCCACTTGCAGATTCCACAAAAAGAGTGTTTCAAAACTGCTCTCTCAAAAGAAAGGTTCAACTCTGTTAGCTGAGTAGATACATCATGAAAAAGTTTCTGACATTTCTTCTGTCTAGAGTTTATATGAAGACAATCCCGTTTCCAACGAAATCCTCAAAGCTATCCAAATATCCTCTTGCAGATATTACAAAAAGAGTGTTTCAAAACTGCTCTATCAAAAGAAAGGTTAAACACTGTTAGTTGAGGGCGCACATCACAAATAGGTTTCTGAGAATGCTTCTGTCTAGTTTTCAGGGGAAGATATTTCCTTTATCACCATAGGCCTGAAAGCGCTCCAAATGTCCACATACAGATACTACTAAAAGTGTGTTTCAAACCTGCTCTATGAAAGGGAATGTTCAAATCTGTGACTTGAATGCAAACATCACAAAGAAGTTTCTGGGAATGCTGCTGTCTGCTTTTTATATGTAATCCCGTTTCCAACGAAATCCTCAAAGCTAGACAAATATCCACTTGCAGATTCCACAAAAAGAGTGTTTCAAAACTGCTCTCTCAAAAGAAAGGTTCAACTCTGTTAGCTGAGTAGATACATCATGAAAAATTTTCTGACATTGCTTCTATCTAGCTTTATTTGGAAGATATTTCCTTTTTCACCGTAGTCCTGAGAGCGCTCCAAATGTCCACTTCCAGATACTACAAAAAGATTGTTTCAAACATGCTCTATGAAAGGGACTGTTCAACACTGTGACTTCAATTGAAACATCCCAATGAAGCTTCTGAGAATACTACTGTCTAGAGTTTATATGAAGACAATCCCGTTTCCAACGAAATCCTCAAAGCTATCCAAATATCCTCTTGCAGATTTTACAAAAAGAGTGTTTCAAAACTGCTCTATCAAAAGAAAGGTTCAACACTGTTAGTTGAGGGCGCACATCACAAATAAGATTCTGAGAATGCTTCTGTCTAGTTTTCAGGGGAAGATATTTCCTTTTTCACCTTAGGCCTGAAAGCGCTGCAAATGTCCACATCCAGATACTACAAAAAGAGTGTTTCAAACCTGCTCTATGAAAGGGAATGTTCAACTCTGTGACTTGAATGCAAACATCACAAAGAAGTTTCTGGGAATGCTGCTGTCTGCTTTTTATATGTAATCCCGTTTCCAACGAAATCCTCAAATGTAGACAAATATCCACTTGCAGATTCCACAAAAAGAGTGTTTCAAAACTGCTCTCTCAAAAGAAAGGTTCAACTCTGTTAGCTGAGTAGATACATCATGAAAAAGTTTCTGACATTGCTTCTATCTAGCTTTTATTGGAAGATATTTCCTTTATCACCGTATTCCTGAGATCTCTCCAAATGTCCACTTCCAGATACTACAAAAAGAGTGTTTCAAACCTGCTCTATGAAAGGGACTGTTCAACACTGTGACTTCAATTGAAACATCCCAATGAAGCTTCTGAGAATGCTTCTGTCTAGAGTTTATATGAAGACAATCCCGTTTCCAAAGAAATCCTCAAAGCTATCCAAATATCCTCTTGCAGATTTTACAAAAAGAGTGTTTCAAAACTGCTCTATCAAAAGAAAGGTTCAACACTGTTAGTTGAGGGCGCACATCACAAATAAGTTTCTGAGAATGCTTCTGTCTAGTTTTCAGGAGAAGATATTTCCTTTTTCACCATAGGCCTGAAAGCGCTCCAAATGTCCACATCCAGATACTATAAAAAGAGTGTTTCAAACCTGCTCTCTGAAAGGGAATGTTCAACTCTGTGACATGAATGCAAACATCACAAACAAGATTCTGGGAATGCTGCTGTCTGCTTTTTATATGTAATCCCGTTTCCAACGAAATCCTCAAAGCTAGACAAATATCCACTTGCAGATTCCACAAAAATAGTGTTTCAAAACTGCTCTCTCAAAAGAAAGGTTCAACTCTTTTAGCTGAGTAGATACATCATGAAAAAGTTTCTGACATTGCTTCTATCTAGCTTTTATTGGAAGATATTTCCTTTTTCACCGTAGTCCTGAGAGCGCTCCAAATGTCCACTTCCAGATAGTACAAAAAGAGTGTTTCAAACCTGCTCTATGAAAGGGACTGTTCAACACTGTGACTTCAATTGAAACATCCCAATGAAGCTTCTGAGAATGCTTCTGTATAGAGTTTATATGAAGACAATCCCGTTTCCAACGAAATCCTCAAAGCTATCCAAATATCCTCTTGCAGATTTTACAAAAAGAGTGTTTCAAAACTGCTCTATCAAAAGAAAGCTTCAACACTGTTAGTTGAGGGCGCACATCACAAATAAGATTCTGAGAATCCTTGCTGTCTGCTTTTTATATGTAATCCCGTTTCCATCGAAATCCTCAAAGCTAGACAAATATCCACTTGCAGATTCCACAAAAAGAGTGTTTCAAAACTGCTCTATCAAAAGAAAGCTTCAACACTGTTAGTTGAGGGCGCACATCACAAATAAGTTCCTGAGAATGCTTCTGTCTAGTTTTCAGGGGAAGATATTTCCTTTTTCACCATAGGCTTGAAAGCGCTCCAAATGTCCACATCCAGATACTACAAAAAGAGTGTTTCAAACCTGCTCTATGAAAGGGAATGTTCAACTCTGTGACTTGAATGCAAACATCACAAAGAAGTTTCTGGGAATGCTGCTGTCTGCTTTTTATATGTAATCCCATTTCCAACGAAATCCTCAAAGCTAGACAAATATCCACTTGCAGATTCCACAAAAAGAGTGTTTCAAAACTGCTCTCTCAAAAGAAAGGTTCAACTCTGTTAGCTGAGTAGATACATCATGAAAAAGTTTCTGACATTGCTTCTATCTAGCTTTTGTTGGAAGATATTTCCTTTTTCACCGCAGTCCTGAGAGCGCTCCAAATGTCCACTTCCAGATACTACAAAAAGAGTGTTTCAAACCTGCTCTATGAAAGGGACTGTTCAACACTGTGACTTCAATTGAAACATCCCAATGAAGCTTCTGAGAATGCTTCTGTCTAGAGTTTATATGAAGACAATCCCGTTTCCAACGAAATCCTCAAAGCTATCCAAATATCCTCTTGCAGATATTACAAAAAGAGTGTTTCAAAACTGCTCTATCAAAAGAAAGGTTCAACACTGTTAGTTGAGGGCGCACATCACAAATAAGTTTACTGAGAATGCTGCTGTCTGCTTTTTATATGTAATCCCGTTTCCAACGAAATCCTCAAAGCTAGACAAATATCCACGTGCAGATTCCACAAAAAGAGTGTTTCAAAACTGCTCTATCAAGAGAAAGCTTCAACACTGTTAGTTGAGGGCGCACATCACAAATAAGTTTCTGAGAATGCTTCTGTCTAGTTTTCAGGGGAAGATATTTCCTTTTTCACCATAGGCCTGAAAGCGCTCGAAATGTCCACATCCAGATACTACAAAAAGAGTGTTTCAAACCTGCTCTATGAAAGGGACTGTTCAACACTGTGACTTCAATTGAAACATCCCAATGAAGCTTCTGAGAATGCTTCTGTCTAGAGTTTATATGAAGACAATCCCGTTTCCAACGAAATCCTGAAAGCTATCAAAATATCCTCTTGCAGATTTTACGAAAAGAGTGTTTCAAAACTGCTCTATCAAAAGAAAGCTTCAACACTGTTAGTTGAGGGCGCACATCACAAATAAGATTCTGAGAATGCTTCTGTCTAGTTTTCAGGGGAAGATATTTCTTTTTTCACCATAGGCCTGAAAGCGCTCCAAATGTCCACATCCAGATACTACAAAAAGAGTGTTTCAAACCTGCTCTATGAAAGGGAATGTTCAACTCTGTGACTTGAATGCAAACATCACAAAGAAGTTACTGTGAATGCTGCTGTCTGCTTTTTATATGTAATCCCGTTTCCAACGAAATCCTCAAAGCTAGACAAATATCCACTTGCAGATTCCACAAAAAGAGTGTTTCAAAACTGCTCTCTCAAAGGAAAGGTTCAACTCTGTTAGCTGAGTAGATACATCATGAAAAAGTTTCTGACATTGCTTTCTATGTAGCTTTTATTGGAAGATATTTCCTTTTTCACCATAGTCCTCAGAGCGCTCCAAATGTCCACTTCCAGATACTACAAAAAGAGTGTTTCAAACCTGTTCTATGAAAGGAAATGTTCAACACTGTCACTTCAATTGAAACATCCCAATGAAGCTTCTGAGAATGCTTATGTCTAGAGTTTATATGAAGACAATCCCGTTTCCAACGAAATCCTGAAAGCTATCCAAATATCCTCTTGCAGATATTACAAAAAGAGTGTTTCAAAACTGCTCTATCAAAAGAAAGCTTCAACACTGTTAGTTGAGGGCGCCCATCACAAATAAGTTTCGGAGAATGCTTCTGTCTAGTTTTCAGGGGAAGATATTTCCTTTTTCACCTTAGGCCTGAAAGCGCTGCAAATGTCCACATCCAGATACTACAAAAAGAGTGTTTCAAACCTGCTCTATGAAAGGGAATGTTCAACTCTGTGACTTGAATGCAAACATCACAAAGAAGTTACTGGGAATGCTGCTGTCTTCTTTTTATATGTAATCCCGTTTCCAACGAAATCCTGAATGCTAGACAAATATCCACCTATAGATTCCTCAAAAAGCGTGTTTCAAAACTGCTCTCTCAAACAAAATGTTCAACTCTGTTAGCTGAGTAGATACATCATGAAAAAGTTTCTGACATTGCTTCTATCTAGCTTTTATTGGAAGATATTTCCTTTTTCACCATAGTCCTGAGAGCGCTCCAAATGTCCACTTCCAGATGCTACAAAAAGAGTGTTTCAAACCTGCTATATTAAAGGGACTGTTCAACACTGTGACTTCAATTGAAACATCCCAATGAAGCTTCTCAGAATGCTTCTGTCTAGAGTTTATATGAAGACAATCACGTTTCCAACGAAATCCTCAAAGCTATCCAAATATCCTCTTGCAGATTTTACAAAAAGAGTGTTTCAAAACTGCTCTATCAAAAGAAAGCTTCAACACTGTTAGTTGAAGGCGCACATCACAAATAAGTTTCTGAGAATGCTTCTGTCTAGTTTTCAGGGGAAGATATTTCCTTTTTCACCGTAGGCCTGAAAGCGCTCCAAATGTCCACATCCAGATACTACAAAAAGAGTGTTTCAAACCTGCTCTATTAAAGGGAATGTTCAACTCTGTGACTTGAATGCAAACATCACAAAGAAGTTACTGGGAATGCTGCTGTCTGCTTTTTATATGTAATCCCGTTTCCAACGAAATCCTCAAAGCTAGACAAATATCCACTTGCAGATTCCACAAAAAGAGTGTTTCAAAACTGCTCTCTCAAAAGAAAGTTTCAACTCTGTTAGCTGAGTAGATACATCATGAAAAAGTTTCTGACATTGCTTCTATCTAGCTTTTATTGGAAGATATTTCCTTTTTCACCGTAGTCCTGAGAGCGCTCCAAATGTCCACTTCCAGATACTACAAAAAGAGTGTTTCCAACCTGCTCTATGAAAGGGACTGTTCAACACTGTGACTTCAATTGAAACATCCCAATGAAGCTTCTGAGAATGCTTCTGCCTAGAGTTTATATGAAGACAATCCCGTTTCCAACGAAATCCTCAAAGCTATCCAAATATCCTCTTGCAGATATTACAAAAAGAGTGTTTCAAAACTGCTCTATCAAAAGAAAGCTTCAACACTGTTAGTTGAGGGCGCACATCACAAATAAGTTTCTGAGAATGCTTCTGTCTAGTTTTCAGGAGAAGATATTTCCTTTTTCATCATAGGCCTGAAAGCGCTCCAAATGTCCACATCCAGATACTATAAAAAGAGTGTTTCAAACCTGCTCTCTGAAAGGGAATGTTCAACTCTGTGACTTGAATGCAAACATCACAAACAAGATTCTGGGAATGCTGCTGTCTGCTTTTTATATGTAATCCCGTTTCCAACGAAATCCTCAAATCTAAGCAAATATCCACTTGCAGATTCCACAAAAAGAGTGTTTCAAAACTGCTCTCTCAAAGGAAAGGTTCAACTCTGTTAGCTGAGTAGATACATCATGAAAAAGTTTCTGACATTGCTTCTATCTAGCTTTTATTGGAAGATATTTCCTTTTTCACCGTAGTCCTGAGAGCGCTCCAAATGTCAACTTCCAGATACTACAAAAAGAGTGTTTCAAACCTGTTCTATGAAAGGAACTGTTCAACACTGTGACTTCAATTGAAACATACCAATGAAGCTTCTGAGAATGCTTCTGCCTAGAGTTTATATGAAGACAATCCCGTTTCCAACGAAATCCTCAAAGCTATCCAAATATCCTCTTGCAGATATTACAAAAAGAGTGTTTCAAAACTGCTCTATCAAAAGAAAGCTTCAACACTGTTAGTTGAGGGCGCACATCACAAATAAGTTTCTGAGAATGCTTCTGTCTAGTTTTCAGGGGAAGATATTTCCTTTTTCACCTTAGGCCTGAAAGCGCTGCAAATGTCCACATCCAGATACTAGAAAAAGAGTGTTTCAAACCTGCTCTATGGAAGGGAATGTTCAACTCTGTGACTTGAATGCAAACATCACAAAGAAGTTTCTGGGAATGCTGCTGTCTGCTTTTTATATGTAATCCCGTTTCCAACGAAATCCTCAAAGCTAGACAAATATCCACTTGCAGATTCCACAAAAAGAGTGTTTCAAAACTGCTCTCTCAAAGGAAGGTTCAACTCTGTTAGCTGAGTAGATACATCATGAAAAAGTTTCTGACATTGCTTCTATCTAGCTTTTATTGGAAGATATTTCCTTTTTCACCAGAGTCCTGAGAGCGCTCCAAATGTCCACTTCCAGATACTACACAAAGAGTGTTTCAAACCTGCTCTATGAAAGGGACTGTTCAACACTGTGACTTCAATTGAAACATCCCAATGAAGCTTCTGAGAATGCTGCTGTCTGCTTTGTATAATTAATCCCGTTTCCAACGAAATCCTCAAAGCTATCCAAATATCCTCTTGCAGATATTACAAAAAGAGTGTTTCAAAACTGCTCTATCAAAAGAAAGCTTCAACACTGTTAGTTGAGGGCGCACATCACAAATAAGTTTCTGAGAATGCTGCTGTCTGCTTTTTATATGTAATCCTGTTTCCAACGAAATCCTCAAAGCTAGACAAATATCCACTTGCAGATTCCACAAAAAGAGTGTTTCAAAACTGCTCTATCAAAAGAATGCTTCAACACTGTTAGTTGAGGGCGCACATCACAAATAAGTTTCTGAGAATGCTTCTGTCTAGTTTTCAGAGGAAGATATTTCCTTTTTCACCATAGGCCTGAAAGCGCTCCAAATGTCCACATCCAGATACTACAAAAAGAGTGTTTCAAACCTGCTCTAAGAAAGGGAATGTTCAACTCTGTGACTTGAATGCAAACATCACAAAGAAGTTTCTGGGAATGCTACTGTCTAGAGTTTGTATGAAGACAATCCCGTTTACAACGAAATCCTCAAAGCTATCCAAATATCCTCTTGCAGATTTTACAAAAAGAGTGTTTCAAAGCTACTCTATCAAAAGAAAGGTTCAACACTGTTAGTTGAGGGCGCACATCACAAATAAGTTTCTGAGAATGCTTCTGTCTAGTTTTCAGGGGAAGATATTTCCTTTTTCACCATAGGCCTGAAAGCGCTCCAAATGTCCACATCCAGATACTACAAAAAGAGTGTTTCAAACCTGCTCTATGAAAGGGAATGTTGAACTCTGTGACTTGAATGCAAACATCACAAAGATGTTGTCTGGGAATGCTGCTGTCTGCTTTTTATATGTAATCCCGTTTCCAACGAAATCCTCAAAGCTAGAAAAATATCCACATGCAGATTCCACAAAAAGAGTGTTTCAAAACTGCTCTATCAAAAGAAAGCTTCAACATTGTTAGTTGAGGGCGCACATCACAAATAAGATTCTGAGAATGCTTCTGTCTAGTTTTCAGAGGAAGATATTTCCTTTTTCACCATAGGCCTGAAAGCGCTCTAAATGTCCACATCCAGATACTACAAAAAGAGTGTTTCAAACCTGCTCTATGAAAGGGACTGTTCAACACTGTGACTTCAATTGAAACATCCCAATGAAGCTTCTGAGAATGCTTCTGTCTAGATTCTATATGAAGACAATCCCGTTTCCAACGAAATCCTCAAAGCTATCCAAATATCCTCTTGCAGATTTTACAAAAAGAGTGTTTCAAAACTGCTCTTTCAAAAGAAAGGTTCAACACTGTTAGTTGAGGGCGCACATCACAAATAAGTTTCTGAGAATGCTTCTGTCTAGTTTTCAGGGGAAGATATTTCCTTTTTCACCATAGGCCTGAAAGCGCTCCAAATGTCCACATCCAGATACTACAAAAAGAGTGTTTCAAACCTGCTCTATGAAAGGGAATGTTCAAGTCTTTGACTTGAATGCAAATTTCACAAAGAACATTCTGGGAATGCTGCTGTCTGCTTTTTATATGTAATCCCGTTTCCAACGCAATCCTCAAATCTAGAAAAATATCCACTTGCAGATTCCACAAAAAGAGTGTTTCAAAACTGCTCTCTCAAAAGAAAGGTTCAACTCTTTTAGCTCAGTAGATACATCATGAAAAAGTTTCTGATATTGCTTCTATCTAGCTTTTATTGGAAGATATTTCCTTTTGCACCGTAGTGCTGAGAACGCTCCAAATGTCCACTTCCAGATGCTACAAAAAGAGTGTTTCAAACCTGCTCTATGAAAGGAACTGTTCAACACTGTGACTTCAATTGAAACATCCCAATGAAGCTTCTGAGAATGCTACTGTCTAGGGTTAATATGAAGACAATCCCGTTTCCAACGAAATCCTCAAAGCTATCCAAATATCCTCTTGCAGATTTTACAAAAAGAATGTTTCAAAACTGCTCTATCAAAAGAAAGCTTCAACACTGTTAGTTGGGGGCACACATCACAAATAAGTTTCTGAGAATACTTCTGTCTAGTTTTCAGGGGAAGATATTTCCTTTTTCACCATAGGCCTCAAAGCGCTCCAAATGTCCACATCCAGATACTACAAAAAGAGTCTTTCAAACCTGCTCTATGAAAGGGAATGTTCAACTCTGTGACTTGAATGCAAACATCACAAAGAAGTTACTGGGAATGCTGCTGTCTGCTTTTTATATGTAATCCCGTTTCCAACGAAATCCTCAAACTAGACAAATATCCACTTGCAGATTCCACAAAAAGAGTGTTCCAAAACTGCTCTCTCAAAAGAAAGGTTCAACTCTGTTAGCTGAGTAGATACATCATGAAAAAGTTTCTGACATTGCTTCTATCTAGCTTTTATTGGAAGATATTTCCTTTATCACCGTATTCCTGAGATCTCTCCAAATGTCCACATCCAGATACTACAAAAAGAGTGTTTCAAACCTGCTCTATGAAAGGGACTGTTCAACACTGTGACTTCAATTGAAACATCCCAATGAAGGTTCTGAGAATGCTGCTGTCTGCTTTGTATAATTAATCCCGTTTCCAACGAAATCCTCAAAGCTATCCAAATATCCTCTTGCAGATATTACAAAAAGAGTGTTTCAAAACTGCTCTATCAAAAGAAAGCTTCAACACTGTTAGTTGAGGGCGCACATCACAAATAAGTTTCTGAGAATGCTGCTGTCTGCTTTTATATGTAATCCCGTTTCCAACGAAATCCTCAATGCTAGACAAATATCGACTTGCAGATTCCAGAAAAAGAGTGTTTCAAAATTGCTCTTTCAAAACGATGGTTCAATTCTGTTAGTTGAGTACACACATCACAAATAAGTTTCAGAGAATGCTTCTGTCTAGTTTTCAGGGGAAGATATTTCCTTTTAAAAAATAGGCCTGAAAGCGCTCCAAATGTCCACATCCAGATACTACAAAAAGAGTGTTTCAAACCTGCTCTATGAAAGGGACTGTTCAACACTGTGACTTCAATTGAAACATCCCAATGAAGCTTCTGAGAATGCTTCTGTCTAGAGTTTATATGAAGACAATCCCGTTTCCAACGAAATCCTCAAAGCTATCAAAATATCCTCTTGCAGATTTTACGAAAAGAGTGTTTCAAAACTGCTCTATCAAAAGAAAGCTTCAACACTGTTAGTTGAGGGCGCACATCACAAATAAGATTCTGAGAATGCTTCTGTCTAGTTTTCAGGAGAAGATATTTCCTTTTTCACCATAGGCCTGAAAGCGCTCCAAATGTCCACATCCAGATACTACAAAAAGAGTGTTTCAAACCTGCTCTATGAAAGGGAATGTTCAAGTCTGTGACTTGAATGCAAATTTCACAAAGAAGTTTCTGGGAATGCTGCTGTCTGGTTTTTATATGTAATCCCGTTTCCAACGAAATCCTCAAAGCTAGACAAATATCCACTTGCAGATTCCACAAAAAGAGTGTTTCAAAGCTGCTCTCTCAAAAGAAAGGTCCAACTCTGTTAGCTGAGTAGATACATCATGAAAAAGTTTCTGACATTGCTTCTATGTAGCTTTTATTGGAAGATATTTCCATTTTCACCGTAGTCCTGAGAGCGCTCCAAATGTCCACTTCCAGATACTACAAAAAGAGTGTTTCAAACCTGTTCTATGAAAGGAACTGTTCAACACTGTGACTTCAATTGAAACATCCCAATGAAGCTTCTGAGAATGCTTCTGTCTAGAGTTTATATGAAGACAATCCCGTTTCCAACGAAATCCTCAAAGCTATCCAAATATCCTCTTGCAGATATTACAAAAAGAGTGTTTCAAAACTGCTCTATCAAAAGAAAGCTTCACCACTGTTAGTTGAGGGCGCACATCACAAATAAGTTTCTGAGAATGCTGCTGTCTGCTTTTTATATGTAATCCCGTTTCCAACGAAATCCTCAAAGCTAGACAAATATCCACTTGCAGATTCCACAAAAAGAGTGTTTCAAAACTGCTCTATCAAAAGAAAGCTTCAACACTGTTAGTTGAGGGCGCACATCACAAATAAGTTTCTGAGATTGCTTCTGTCTAGTTTTCAGGGGAAGATATTTCCTTTTTCACCGTAGGCCTGAAAGCGCTCCAAATGTCCACATCCAGATACTACAAAAAGAGTGTTTCAAACCTGCTCTATGAAAGGGACTGTTCAACACTGTGACTTCAATTGAAACATCCCAATGAAGCTTCTGAGAATGCTTCTGTCTAGAGTTTATATGAAGACAATCCCGTTTCCAACGAAATCCTCAAAGCTATCCAAATATCCTCTTGCAGATTTTACAAAAAGAGTGTTTCAAAACTGCTCTATCAAAAGAAAGCTTCAACACTGTTAGTTGAGGGCGCACATCACAAATAAGATTCTGAGAATGCTTCTGTCTAGTTTTCAGGGGAAGATATTTCCTTTTTCACCATAGGCCTGAAAGCGCTCCAAATGTCCACATCCAGATACTACAAAAAGAGTGTTTCAAACCTGCTCTATGAAAGGGAATGTTCAACTCTGTGACGTGAATGCAAACATCACAAAGAAGTTTCTGGGAATGCTGCTGTCTGCTTTTTATATGTAATCCCGTTTCCAACGAAATCCTCAAAGCTAGACAAATATCCACTTGCAGATTCCACAAAAAGAGTGTTTCAAAACTGCTCTCTCAAAAGAAAGGTTCAACTCTGTTAGCTGAGTAGATACATCATGAAAAATTTTCTGACATTGCTTCTATCTAGCTTTTATTGGAAGATATTTCCTTTTTCACCGTAGTCCTGAGAGCGCTCAAAATGTCCACTTCCAGATACTACAAAAAGAGTGTTTCAAACCTGCTATATGAAAGGGACTGTTCAACACTGTGACTTCAATTGAAACATCCCAATGAAGCTTCTGAGAATGCTTCTGTCTAGATTTTATATGAAGACAATCCCGTTTCCAACGAAATCCTCAAAGCTATCCAAATATCCTCTTGCAGATTTTACACAAACAGTGTTTCAAAACTACTCTATCAAAAGAAAGGTTTAACACTGTTAGTTGAGGGCGCACATCACAAATAAGTTTCTGAGAATGCTTCTGTCTAGTTTTCAGGAGAAGATATATCCTTTTTCACCATAGGCCTGAAAGCGCTCCAAATGTCCACATCCAGATACTATAAAAAGAGTGTTTCAAACCTGCTCTATGAAAGGGAATGTTCAACTCTGTGACTTGAATGCAAACATCACAAACAAGATTCTGGGAATGCTGCTGTCTGCTTTTTATATGTAACCCCGTTTCAAACGCAATCCTCAATGCTAGACAAATATCCACTTGCAGATTCCACAAAAAGAGGGTTTCCAAACTGCTGTCTCAAAAGAAAGGTTCAACTCTGTTAGCTGAGTAGATACATCATGAAAAATTTTCTGACATTGCTTCTATGTAGCTTTTATTGGAAGATATTTCCTTTTTCACCGCAGTCCTGAGAGCGCTCCAAATGTCCACTTCCAGATACTACAAAAAGAGTGTTTCAAACCTGCTCTATGAAAGGGACTGTTCAACACTGTGACTTCAACTGAAACATCCCAATGAAGCTTCTGAGAATGCTTCTGTCTAGAGTTTATATGAAGACAATCCCGTTTCCAACGAAATCCTCAAAGCTATCAAAATATCCTCTTAGAGATTTTACGAAAAGAGTGTTTCAAAACTGCTCTATCAAAAGAAAGCTTCAACACTGTTAGTTGAGGGCGCACATCACAAATAAGATTCTGAGAATGCTGCTGTCTGCTTTTTATATTTAATCCCGTTTCCAACGAAATCCTCAAAGCTAGACAAATATCCACTTCCAGATTCCACAAAAAGAGTGTTTCAAAACTGCTCTCTCAAAAGAAAGTTTCAACTCTGTTAGCTGAGGGCGCACATCACAAATAAGTTTCTGAGAATGCTTCTGTCTAGTTTTCAGGGGAAGATATTTCCTTTTTCACCATAGGCCTGAAAGCGCTCCAAATGTCCACATCCAGATACTACAAAAAGTGTGTTTCAAACCTGCTCTATGAAAGGTACTGTTCAACACTGTGACTTCAATTGAAACATCCCAATGAAGCTTCTGAGAATGCTTCTGTCTAGAGTTTATATGAAGACAATCCCGTTTCCAACGAAATCCTCAAAGCTATCAAAATATCCTCTTGCAGATTTTACGAAAAGAGTGTTTCAAAACTGCTCTATCAAAAGAAAGCTTCAACACTGTAAGTTGAGGACGCACATCACAAATAAGATTCTGAGAATGCTTCTGTCTAGTTTTCAGGGGAAGATATTTCCTTTTTCACCTTAGGCCTGAAAGCGCTGAAAATGTCCACATCCAGATACTACAAAAAGAGTGTTTCAAACCTGCTCTATGAAAGGGAATGTTCAACTCTGTGACTTGAATGCAAACATCACAAAGAAGTTTCTGGGAATGCTGCTGTCTGCTTTTTATATGTAATCCCGTTTCCAACGAAATCCTCAAAGCTAGACAAATATCCACTTCCAGATTCCACAAAAAGAGTGTTTCAAAACTGCTGTCTCAAAAGAAAGGTTCAACTGCTGTTAGCTGAGTAGATACATCATGAAAAAGTTTCTGACATTGCTTCTATCTAGCTTTTATTGGAAGATATTTCCTTTTTCACTGCAGTCCTGAGAGCGCTCCAAATGTCCACTTCCAGATACTACAAAAAGAGTGTTTCAAACCTGCTCTATGAAAGGGACTGTTCAACACTGTGACTTCAATTGAAACATCCCAATGAAGCTTCTGAGAATGCTGCTGTCTGCTTTGTATAATTAATCCCGTTTCCAACGAAATCCTCAAAGCTATCCAAATATCCTCTTGCAGATATTACAAAAAGAGTGTTTCAAAACTGCTCTATCAAAAGAAAGCTTCAACACTGTTAGTTGAGGGCGCACATCACAAATAAGTTTCTGAGAATGCTGCTGTCTGCTTTTTATATGTAATCCCGTTTCCAACGAAATCCTCAAAGCTAGACAAATATCCACTTGCAGATAAAAAGAGTGTTTCAAAACTGCTCTGTCAAAAGAAAGCTTCAACACTGTTAGTTGAGGGCGCACATCACAAATAAGTTTCTGAGAATGCTTCTGTCTAGTTTTCAGGGGAAGATATTTCCTTTTAAACCATAGGCCTGAAAGCGCTCCAAATGTCCACATCCAGATACTACAAAAAGAGTGTTTCAAACCTGCTCTATGAAAGGGACTGTTCAACACTGTGACTTCAATTGAAACATCCCAATGACGCTTCTGAGAATGCTTCTGTCTAGAGTTTATATGAAGACAATCCCGTTTCCAAAGAAATCCTCAAAGCTATCCAAATATCCTCCTGCAGATTTTACAAAAAGAGTGTTTCAAAACTGCTCTATCAAAAGAAATCTTCAACACTGTTAGTTGAGGGCGCACATCACAAATAAGATTCTGAGAATGCTTCTGTCTAGTTTTCAGGGGAAGATATTTCCTTTTTCACCATAGGCCTGAAAGCGCTCCAAATGTCCACATACAGATACTACAAAAAGAGTGTTTCAAACCTGCTCTATGAAAGGGAATGTTCAACTCTGTGACTTGAATGCAAACTTCACAAAGAAATTTCTGGGAATGCTGCTGTCTGCTTTTTATATGTAATCCCGTTTCCAACGAAATCCTCAAAGCTAGACAAATATCCACTTGCAGATTCCACAAAAAGAGTGTTTCAAAACTGCTCTCTCAAAAGAAAGGTTCAACTCTGTTAGCTGAGTAGATACATCATGAAAAAGTTTCTGACATTGCTTCTATCTAGCTTTTATTGGAAGATATTACCTTTTTCACCATAGTCCTGAGAGTGCTCCAAATGTCCACTTCCAGATACTACAAAAAGAGTGTTTCAAACCTGCTCTATGAAAGGGACTGTTCAACACTGTGACTTCAATTGAAACATCCCAATGAAGCTTCTGAGAATGCTGCTGTCTGCTTTGTATAATTAATCCCGTTTCCAACGAAATCCTCAAAGCTATCCAAATATCCTCTTGCAGATATTACAAAAAGAGTGTTTCAAAACTGCTCTATCAAAAGAAAGCTTCAACACTGTTAGTTGAGGGCGCACATCACAAATAAGTTTCTGAGAATGCTGCTGTCTGCTTTTTATATGTAATCCCGTTTCCAACGAAATCCTCAAAGCTAGACAAATATCCACTTGCAGATTCCACAAAAAGAGTGTTTCAAAACTGCTCTATCAAAAGAATGCTTCAACACTGTTAGTTGAGGGCGCACATCACAAATAAGTTTCTGAGAATGCTTCTCTCTAGTTTTCAGGGGAAGATATTTCCTTTTTCACCATAGGCCTGAAAGCGCTCCAAATGTCCACATCCAGATACTACAAAAAGAGTGTTTCATACCTGCTCTATGAAAGGGACTGTTCAACACTGTGACTTCAATTGAAACATCCCAATGAAGCTTCTGAGAATGCTTCTGTCTAGATTGTATATGAAGACAATCCCGTTTCCAACGAAATCCTCAAAGCTATCCAAATATCCTCTTGCAGATTTTACAAAAAGAGTGTTTCAAAACTGCTCTATCAAAAGAAAGCTTCAACACTGTTAGTTGAGGGCGCACATCACAAATAAGTTTCTGAGAATGCTTCTGTCTTGTTTTCAGGGGAAGATATTTCCTTTTTCACCATAGGCCTGAAAGCGCTCCAAATGTCCACATCCAGATACTACAAAAAGAGTGTTTCAAACCTGCTCTATGAAAGCGAATGTTCAACTCTGTGACTTGAATGCAAACATCACAAAGAAGTTTCTGGGAATGCTGCTGTCTGCTTTTTATATGTAATCCCGTTTCCAACGAAATCCTCAAAGCTAGACAAATATCCACTTGCAGATTCCACAAAAAGAGTGTTTCAAAACTGCTCTCTCAAAGGAAAGGTTCAACTCTGTTAGCTGAGTAGATACATCATGAAAAAGTTTCTGACATTGCTTCTATCTAGCTTTTATTGGAAGATATTTCCTTTTTCACCGCAGTCCTGAGAGCGCTCCAAATGTCCACTTCCAGATACTACAAAAAGAGTGTTTCAAACCTGCTCTATGAAAGGGACTGTTCAACACTGTGACTTCAATTGAAACATCCCAATGAAGCTTCTGAGAATGCTTCTTTCTAGAGTTTATATGAAGACAATCCCGTTTCCAACGAAATCCTCAAAGCTATCCAAATATTCTCTTGCAGATATTACAAAAAGAGTGTTTCAAAACTGCTCTATCAAAATAAAGCTTCAACACTGTTAGTTGAGGGCGCACATCACAAATAAGTTTCTGAGAATGCTGCTGTCTGCTTTTTATATGTAATCCCGTTTCCAACGAAATCCTCAAAGCTAGACAAATATCCACTTGCAGATTCCACAAAAAGAGTGTTTCAAAACTGCTCTATCAAAAGAAAGCTTCAACACTGTTAGTTGAGGGCGCACATCACAAATAAGTTTCTGAGAATGCTTCTGTCTAGTTTTCAGGGGAAGATATTTCCTTTTAAACCATATGCCTGAAAGCGCTCCAAATGTCCACATCCAGATACTACAAAAAGAGTGTTTCAAACCTGCTCTATGAAAGGGACTGTTCAACACTGTGACTTCAATTGAAACATCCCAATGAAGCTTCTGAGAATGCTATTGTCTAGAGTTTATATGAAGACAATCCCGTTTCCAACGAAATACTCAAAGCTATCCAAATATCCTCTTGCAGATTTTACAAAAAGAGTGTTTCAAAACTACTCTATCAAAAGAAAGGTTCAACACTGTTAGTTGACGGCGCACATCACAAATAAGTTTCTGAGAATGCTTCTGTCTAGTTTTCAGGGGAAGATATTTCCTTTTTCACCATAGGCCTGAGAGCGCTCCAAATGTCCACATCCAGACACTACAAAAAGAGTGTTTCAAACCTGCTCTATGAAAGGGAATGTTCAACTCTGTGACTTGAATGCAAACATCACAAAGAAGTTTCTGGGAATGCTGCTGTCTGCTTTTTATATGTAATCCCGTTTCCAACGAAATCCTCAAAGCTAGACAAATATCCACTTGCAGATTCCACAAAAAGAGTGTTTCAAAACTGCTCTCTCAAAGGAAGGTTCAACTCTATTAGCTGAGTAGATACATCATGAAAAAGTTTCTGACATTTCTTCTATCCAGCTTTTATTGGAAGATATTTCCTTTTTCACCGCAGTCCTGAGAGCGCTCCAAATGTCCACTTCCAGATACTACAAAAAGAGTGTTTCAAACCTGCTCTATGAAAGGGACTGTTGAACACTGTGACTTCAGTTGAAACATCCCAATGAAGCTTCTGAGAATGCTTCTGTCTAGAGTTTATATGAAGACAATCCCGTTTCCAACGAAATCCTCAAAGCTAACCAAATGTCCTCTTGCAGATTTTACGAAAAGAGTGTTTCAAAACTGCTCTATCAAAAGAAAGCTTCAACACTGTTAGTTGAGGGTGCACATCACAAATAAGATTCTGAGAATGCTTCTGTCTAATTTTCAGGGGAAGATATTTCCTTTTTCACCTTAGGCCTGAAAGCGCTGCAAATGTCCACATCCAGATACTACAAAAAGAGTGTTTCAAACCTGCTCTATGAAAGGGAATGTTCAACTCTGTGACTTGAATGCAAACATCACAAAGAAGTTTCTGGGAATGCTGCTGTCTGCTTTTTATATGTAATCCCGTTTCCAACGAAATCCTCAAAGCTAGACAAATATCCACTTGCAGATTCCACAAAAAGAGTGTTTCAAAACTGCTCTCTCAAAGGAAAGGTTCAACTCTGTTAGCTGAGTAGATACATCATGAAAAAGTTTCTGACATTGCTTCTATGTAGCTTTTATTGGAAGATATTTCCTTTTTCACCGTAGTCCTGAGAGCGCTCCAAATGTCCACTTCCAGATACTACAAAAAGAGTGTTTCAAACCTGTTCTATGAAAGGAACTGTTCAACACTGTGACTTCAATTGAAACATCCCAATGAAGCTTCTGAGAATGCTGCTGTCTGCTTTGTATAATTAATCCCGTTTCCAACGAAATCCTCAAAGCTATCCAAATATCCTCTTGCAGATATTACAAAAAGAGTGTTTCAAAACTGCTCTATCAAAAGAAAGCTTCAACACTGTTAGTTGAGGGCGCACATCACAAATAAGTTTCTGAGAATGCTGCTGTCTGCTTTTTATATGTAATCCCGTTTCCAACGAAATCCTCAAAGCTAGACAAATATCCACTTGCAGATTCCACAAAAAGAGTGTTTCAAAACTGCTCTATCAAAAGAAAGCTTCAACACTGTTAGTTGAGGGGGCACATCACAAATAAGTTTCTGAGAATGCTTCTGTCTACTTTTCAGGGGAAGATATTTCCTTTTAAACCATAGGCCTGAAAGCGCTCCAAATGTCCACATCCAGATACTACAAAAAGAGTGTTTCAAACCTGCTCTATGAAAGGGACTGTTCAACACTGTGACTTCAATTGAAACATCCCAATGAAGCTTCTGAGAATGCTTCTGTCTAGATTTTATATGAAGACAATCCCGTTTCCAACGAAATCCTCAAAGCTATCCAAATATCCTCTTGCAGATTTTACAAAAAGAGTGTTTCAAAACTACTCTATCAAAAGAAAGGTTTAACACTGTTAGTTGAGGGCGCACATCACAAATAAGTTTCTGAGAATGCTTCTGTCTAGTTTTCAGGGGAAGATATTTCCTTTTTCACCATAGGCCTGAAAGCGCTCCAAATGTCCACATCCAGATACTACAAAAAGAGTGTTTCAAACCTGCTCTATGAAAGGAAATGTTCAAGTCTGTGACTTGAATGCAAATTTCACAAAGAACTTTCTGGTAATGCTGCTGTCTGCTTTTTATATGTAATCCCGTTTCCAACGAAATCCTCAAAGCTAGACAAATATCCACCTGCAGATCCAACAAAAAGACTGTTTCAAAACTGCTCTCTCAAAAAAAAGGTTCAACTCTGTTAGCTGAGTAGATACATCATGAAAAAGTTTCTGACATTGCTTCTATCTAGCTTTTATTGGAAGATATTTCCTTTTTCACCGTCGTCCTGAGAGCGCTCCAAATCTCCACTTCCAGATATTACAAAAAGAGTGTTTCAAACCTGCTCTACGAAAGGGACTGTTCAACACTGTGACTTCAATTGAAACATCCCAATGAAGCTTCTGAGAATGCTTCTGTCTAGAGTTTATATGAAGACAATCCCGTTTCCAACGAAATCCTCAAAGCTATCCAAATATCCTCTTGCAGATATTACAAAAAGAGTGTTTCAAAACTGCTCTATCAAAAGAAAGGTTCAACACTGTTAGTTGAGGGCGCACATCACAAATAAGTTTACTGAGAATGCTGCTGTCTGCTTTTTATATGTAATCCCGTTTCCAACGAAATCCTCAAAGCTAGACAAATATCCACTTGCAGATTCCACAAAAAGAGTGTTTCAAAACTGCTCTATCAAAAGAATGCTTCAACACTGTTAGTTGAAGGCGCACATCACAAATAAGTTTCTGAGAATGCTTCTGTCTAGTTTTCAGGGGAAGATATTTCCTTTTTCACCTTATGCCTGAAAGCGCTCCAAATGTCCACATCCAGATTCTACAAAAAGAGTGTTTCAAACCTGCTCTATGAAAGGGACTGTTCAACACTGTGACTTCAATTGAAACATCCCAATGAAGCTTCTGAGAATGCTTCTGTCTAGAGTTTATATGAAGACAATCCCGTTTCCAACGAAATCCTCAAAGCTATCCAAATATCCTCTTGCAGATTTTACAAAAAGAGTGTTTCAAAACTGCTCTATCAAAAGAAAGCTTCAACACTGTTAGTTGAGGGCGCACATCACAAATAAGATTCTGAGAATGCTTCTGTCTAGTTTTCAGGGGAAGATATTTCCTTTTTCACCATAGGCCTGAAAGCGCTCCAAATGTCCACATCCAGATACTACAAAAAGAGTGTTTCAAACCTGCTCTCTGAAAGGGAATGTTCAACTCTGTGACTTGAATGCAAACATCACAAAGAAGTTTCTGGGAATGCTGCTGTCTGCTTTTTATAGGTAATCCCGTTTCCAACGAAATCCTCAAAGCTAGACAAATATCCACTTGCAGATTCCACAAAAAGAGTGTTTCAAAACTGCTCTCTCAAAGGAAAGGTTCAACTCTGTTAGCTGAGTAGATACATCATGAAAAAGTTTCTGACATTGCTTCTATGTAGCTTTTATTGGAAGATATTTCCTTTTTCACCATAGTCCTGAGAGCGCTCCAAATGTCCACTTCCAGATACTACAAAAAGAGTGTTTCAAACCTGTTCTATGAAAGGAACTGTTCAACACTGTGACTTCAATTGAAACATCCCGATGAAGCCTCTGAGAATGCTTCTGTCTAGAGTTTATATGAAGACAATCCCGTTTCCAACGAAATCCTCAAAGCTATCCAAATATCCTCTTGCAGATATTACAAAAAGAGTGTTTCAAAACGGCTCTATCAAAAGAAAGCTTCAACACTGTTAGTTGAGGGCGCACATCACAATTAAGTTTCTGAGAATGCTGCTGTCTGCTTTTTATATGTAATCCCGTTTCCAACGAAATCCTCAAAGCTAGACAAATATCCTCTTGCAGATATTACAAAAAGAGTGTTTCAAAACTGCTCTATCAAAAGAAAGCTTCAACACTGTTAGTTGAGGGCGCACATCACAAATAAGTTTCTGAGAATGCTTCTGTCTAGTTTTCAGTGGAAAATATTTCCTTTTTCACCATAGGCCTGAAAGCGCTCCAAATGTCCACTTCCAGATACTACAAAAAGAGTGTTTCAAACCTGCTCTATCAAAGGGAATGTTCAACACTGTGACTTCAATTGAAACATCCTAATGAAGCTTCTGAGAATGCTTCTGTCTAGATTTTATATGAAGACAATCCCGTTTCCAACGAAATCCTCAAAGCTATCCAAATATCCTCTTGCAGATTTTACAAAAAGAGTGTTTCAAAACTGCTCTATCAAAAGAAAAGTTCAACACTGTTAGTTGAGGGCGCACATCACAAATAAGTTTCTGAGAATGCTTCTGTCTAGTTTTCAGGGGAAGATATTTCCTTTTTCACCATATGCCTGAAAGCGCTCCAAATGTCCACATCCAGATACTACAAAAAGAGTGTTTCAAACCTGCTCTATGAAAGGGAATCTTCAACTCTGACACTTGAATGCAAACATCACAAAGAAGTTTCTGGGAATGCTGCTGTCTGCTTTTTATATGTAATCCCGTTTCCAACGAAATCCTCAAAGCTAGACAAATATCCACTTGCAGATTCCACAAAAAGAGTGTTTCAAAACTGCTCTCTCAAAAGAAAGGTTCAACTCTGTTAGCTGAGTAGATACATCATGAAAAAGTTTCTGACATTGCTTCTATCTAGCTTTAATTGGAAGATATTTCCTTTATCACCGTAGTCCTGAGAGCACTCCAAATGTCCACTTCCAGATACTACAAAAAGAGTGTTTCAAACCTGCTCTATGAAAGGGACTGTTCAACACTGTGACTTCAATTGAAACATCCCAATGAAGCTTCTGACAATGCTTCTGTCTAGAGTTTATATGAAGACAATCCCGTTTCCAACGAAATCCTCAAAGCTATCCAAATATCCTCTTGCAGATATTACAAAAAGAGTGTTTCAAAACTGCTCTATCAAAAGAAAGGTTCAACACTGTTAGTTGAGGGCGCACATCACAAATAAGTTTACTGAGAATGCTGCTGTCTGCTTTTTATAATTAATCCCGTTTCCAACGAAATCCTCAAAGCTATCCAAATATTCTCTTGCAGATATTACAAAAAGAGTGTTTCAAAACTGCTCTATCAAAAGAAAGCTTCAACACTGTTAGTTGAGGGCGCACATCACAAATAAGTTTCTGAGAATGCTTCTGTCTAGTTTTCAGGGGAAGATATTTCCTTTTAAACCATAGGCCTGAAAGCGCTCCAAATGTCCACATCCAGATACTACAAAAAGAGTGTTTCAAACCTGCTCTATGAAAGGGACTGTTCAACACTGTGACTTCAATTGAAACATCCCAATGACGCTTCTGAGAATGCTTCTGTCTAGAGTTTATATGAAGACAATCCCGTTTCCAACGAAATCCTCAAAGCTATCCAAATATCCTCTTGCAGATTTTACAAAAAGAGTGTTTCAAAACTGCTCTCTCAAAAGAAAGGTTCAACTCTGTTAGCTGAGTAGATACATCATGAAAAAGTTTCTGACATTGCTTCTATCTAGCTTTTATCGGAAGATATTTCCTTTTTCACCGTAGTCCTGAGAGCGCTCCAAATGTCCACTTCCAGATGCTACAAAAAGAGTGTTTCAAACCTGCTCTATGAAAGGGACTGTTCAACACTGTGACTTCAATTGAAACATCCCAATGAACCTTCTGAGAATGCTTCTGTCTAGAGTTTATATGAAGACAATCCCGTTTCCAACGAAATCCTCAAAGCTATCCAAATATCCTCTTGCAGATATTACAAAAAGAGTGTTTCAAAACTGCTCTATCAAAAGAAAGGTTCAACACTGTTAGTTGAGGGCGCACATCACAAATAAGTTTACTGAGAATGCTGCTGTCTGCTTTTTATATGTAATCCCGTTTCCAACGAAATCCTCAAAGCTAGACAAATATCCACTTGCAGATTCCACAAAAAGAGTGTTTCAAAACTGCTCTATCAAAAGAAAGCTTCAACACTGTTAGTTGAGGGCGCACATCACAAATAAGTTTCTGAGAATGCTTCTATCTAGCTTTTATTGGAAGATATTTCCTTTTTCACCGTAGTCCTGAGATCTCTCCAAATGTCCACTTCCAGATACTACAAAAAGAGTGTTTCAAACCTGCTCTATGAAAGGGACTGTTCAACACTGTGACTTCAATTGAAACATCCCAATGAAGCTTCTGAGAATGGTTCTGTCTAGAGTTTATATGAAGACAATCCCGTTTCCAACGAAATCCTGAAAGCTATCCAAATATCCTCTTGCAGATATTACAAAAAGAGTGTTTCAAAACTGCTCTATCAAAAGAAAGCTTCAACACTGTTAGTTGAGGGCGCACATCACAAATAAGTTTCTGAGAATGCTTCTGTCCAGTTTTCAGGGGAAGATATTTCCTTTTTCACCATAGGCCTGAAAGCGCTCCAAATGTCCACATCCAGATACTACAAAAAGAGTGTTTCAAACCTGCTCTATGAAAGGGAATGTTCAACTCTGTCACTTGAATGCAAACATCACAAAGAAGTTTCTGGGAATGCTGCTGTCTGCTTTTTATAATTAATCCCGTTTCCAACGAAATCCTCAAAGCTAGACAAATATCCACTTGCAGATTCCACAAAAAGAGTGTTTCAAAACTGCTCTCTCAAATGAAGGTTCAACTCTGTTAGCTGAGTAGATACATCATGAAAAAGTTTCTGACATTGCTTCAATCTAGCTTTTATTGGAAGATATTTCCTTTTTCACATTAGTCCTGAGAGCGCTCCAAATGTCCACTTCCAGATACTACAAAAAGAGTGTTTCAAACCTGCTCTATGAAAGGGACTGTTCAACACCATGACTTCAATTGAAACATCCCAATGAAGCTTCTGAGAATGCTTCTTTCTAGAGTTTATATGAAGACAATCCCGTTTCCAACGAAATCCTCAAAGCTATCCAAATATTCTCTTGCAGATATTACAAAAAGAGTGTTTCAAAACTGCTCTATCAAAATAAAGCTTCAACACTGTTAGTTGAGGGCGCACATCACAAATAAGTTTCTGAGAATGCTGCTGTCTGCTTTTTATATGTAATCCCGTTTCCAACGAAATCCTCAAAGCTATCCAAATATCCTCTTGCAGATATTACAAAAAGAGTGTTTCAAAACTGCTCTATCAAAAGAAAGGTTCAACACTGTTAGTTGAGGACGCACATCACAAATAAGTTTCTGAGAATGCTTCTGTCTAGTTTTCAGGGGAAGATATTTCCTTTTTCACCATAGGCCTGAAAGCGCTCGAAATGTCCACATCCAGATACTACAAAAAGAGTGTTTCAAACCTGCTCTATGAAAGGGACTGTTCAACACTGTGACTTCAATTGAAACATCCCAATGAAGCTTCTGAGAATGCTTCTGTCTAGATTCTATATGAAGACAATCCCGTTTCCAATGAAATCCTCAAAGCTATCCAAATATCCTCTTGCAGATTTTACAAAAAGAGTGTTTCAAAACTGCTCTATCAAAAGAAAGCTTCAACACTGTTAGTTGAGGGCGCACATCACAAATAAGATTCTGAGAATGCTTCTGTCTAGTTTTCAGGGGAAGATATTTCCTTTTTCACCATAGGCCTGAAAGCGCTCCAAATGTCCACATCCAGATACTACAAAAAGAGTGTTTCAAACCTGCTCTCTGAAAGGGAATGTTCAACTCTGTGACTTGAATGCAAACATCACAAAGAAGTTTCTGGGAATGCTGCTGTCTGCTTTTTATATGTAATCCCGTTTCCAACGAAATCCTCAAAGCTAGACAAATATCCACTTGCAGATTCCACAAAAAGAGTGTTTCAAAACTGCTCTCTCAAAGGAAAGGTTCAACTCTGTTAGCTGAGTAGATACATCATGAAAAAGTTTCTGACATTGCTTCTATGTAGCTTTTATTGGAAGATATTTCCTTTTTCACCATAGTCCTGAGAGCGCTCCAAATGTCCACTTCCAGATACTACAAAAAGAGTGTTTCAAACCTGTTCTATGAAAGGAACTGTTCAACACTGTGACTTCAATTGAAACATCCCAAAGAAGCTTCTGAGAATGCTTCTGTCTAGATTCTATATGAAGACAATCCCGTTTCCAACGAAATCCTCAAAGCTATCCAAATATCCTCTTGCAGATTTTACAAAAAGAGTGTTTCAAAACTGCTCTATCAAAAGAAAAGTTCCACACTGTTAGTTGAGGGCGCACATCACAAATAAGTTTGCTGAGAATGCTGCTGTCTGCTTTTTATAATTAATCCCGTTTCCAACGAAATCCTCAAAGCTATCCAAATATCCTCTTGCAGATATTACAAAAAGAGTGTTTCAAAACTGCTCTATCAAAAGAAAGCTTCAACACTGTTAGTTGAGGGCGCACATCACAAATAAGTTTCTGAGAATGCTTCTGTCTAGTTTTCAGGGGAAGATATTTCCTTTTTCACCATAGGCCTGAAAGCGCTCCAAATGTCCACATCCAGATACTACAAAAAGAGTGTTTCAAACCTGCTCTATGAAAGGGACTGTTCAACACTGTGACTTCAATTGAAACATCCCAATGAAACATCTGAGAATGCTTCTGTCTAGAGTTTATATGAAGACAATCCCGTTTCCAATGAAATCCTCAAAGCTATCCAAATATCCTCTTGCAGATTTTACAAAAAGAGTGTTTCAAAACTGCTCTATCAATAGAAAGCTTCAACACTGTTAGTTGAGGGCGCACATCACAAATAAGATTCTGAGAATGCTTCTGTCTAGTTTTCAGGAGAAGATATTTCCCTTTTCACCATAGGCCTGAAAGCGCTCCAAATGTCCACATCCAGATACTCTAAAAAGAGTGTTTCAAACCTGCTCTCTGAAAGGCAATGTTCAACTCTGTGACTTGAATGCAAACATCACAAAGAAGATTCTGGGAATGCTGCTGTCTGCTTTTTATATGTAATCCCGTTTCCAACGAAATCCTCAAAGCTAGACAAATATCCACTTGCAGATTCCACAAAAAGAGTGTTTCAAAACAGCTCTATCAAAAGAAAGCTTCAACACTGTTAGTTGAGGGCGCACATCACAAATAAGTTTCTGAGAATGCTTCTATCTAGCTTTTATTGGAAGATAATTCCTTTTTCACCGCAGTCCTGAGAGCGCTCCAAATGTCCACTTCCAGATACTACAAAAAGAGTGTTTCAAACCTGCTCTATGAAAGGGACTGTTCAACACTGTGACTTCAATTGAAACATCCCAATGAAGCTTCTGAGAATGCTTCTGTCTAGAGTTTATATGAAGACATTCCCGTTTCCAACGAAATCCTCAAAGCTATCCAAATATCGTCTTGCAGATTTTACAAAAAGAGTGTTTAAAAACTGCTCTAGCAAAAGAAAGCTTCAACACTGTTAGTTGAGGGCGCACATTCCAAATAAGATTCTGAGAATGCCGCTGTCTGCTTTTTATAATTAATCCCGTTTCCAACGAAATCCTCAAAGCTATCCAAATATCCTCTTGCAGATATTACAAAAAGAGTGTTTCAAAACTGCTCTATCAAAAGAAAGCTTCAACACTGTTAGTTGAGGGCGCACATCACAAATAAGTTTCTGAGAATGCTTCTGTCTAGTTTTCAGAGGAAGATATTTCCTTTTTCACCATAGGCCTGAAAGCGCTCCAAATGTCCACTTCCAGATACTACAAAAAGAGTGTTTCAAACCTGCTCTATGAAAGGGACTGTTCAACACTGTGACTTCAATTGAAACATCCCAATGAGGCTTCTGAGAATGCTTCTGTCTAGAGTTTATATGAAGACAATCCCGTTTCCAACGAAATCCTCAAAGCTATCCAAATATCCTCTTGCAGATTTTACAAAAGGAGTGTTTCAAAACTGCTCTATCAAAAGAAAGCTTCAACACTGTTAGTTGAGGGCGCACATCACAAATAAGATTCTGAGAATGCTTCTGTCTAGTTTTCAGGGGAAGATATTTCCTTTTTCACCATAGGCCTGAAAGCGCTCCAAATGTCCACATCCAGATACTTCAAAAAGAGTGTTTCAAACCTGCTCTATGAAAGGGAATGTTCAACTCTGTGACTTGAATGCAAACATCACAAAGAAGTTACTGGGAATGCTGCTGTCTGCTTTTTATATGTAATCCCGTTTCCAACGAAATCCTCAAAGCTAGACAAATATCCACTTGCAGATTCCACAAAAAGAGTGTTTCAAAACTGCTCTCTCAAAGGAAAGGTTCACCTCTGTTAGCTGAGTAGATACATCATGAAAAAGTTTCTGACATTGCTTCTATGTAGCTTTTATTGGAAGATATTTCCTTTTTCACCATAGTCCTGAGAGCGCTCCAAATGTCCACTTCCAGATACTACAAAAAGAGTGTTTCAAACCTGTTCTATGAAAGGGACTTTTCAACACTGTGACTTCAATTGAAACATCCCAATGAAGCTTCTGAGAATGCTTCTTTCTAGAGTTTATATGAAGACAATCCCGTTTCCAACGAAATCCTCAAAGCTATCCAAATATTCTCTTGCAGATATTACAAAAAGAGTGTTTCAAAACTGCTCTATCAAAATAAAGCTTCAACACTGTTAGTTGAGGGCGCACATCACAAATAAGTTTCTGAGAATGCTGCTGTCTGCTTTTTATATGTAATCCCGTTTCCAACGAAATCCTCAAAGCTAGACAAATATCCACTTCCAGATTCCACAAAAAGAGTGTTTCAAAACTGCTCTATCAAAAGAAAGCTTCAACACTGTTAGTTGAGGGCGCACATCACTAATAAGTTTCTGAGAATGCTTCTATCTAGCTTTTATTGGAAGATATTTCCTTTATCACCGTATTCCTGAGATCTCTCCAAATGTCCACTTTCAGATACTACAAAAAGAGTGTTTCAAACCTGCTCTATGAAAGGGACTGTTCAACACTGTGACTTCAATTGAAACATCCCAATGAAGCTTCTGAGAATGCTTCTGTCTAGAGTTTATATGAAGACAATCCCGTTTCCAACGAAATCCTCAAAGCTATCCAAATATCCTCTTGCAGATATTACAAAAAGAGTGTTTCAAAACTGCTCTATCAAAAGAAAGCTTCAACACTGTTAGTTGAGGGCGCACATCACAAATAAGTTTCTGAGAATGCTTCTGTCCAGTTTTCAGGGGAAGATATTTCCTTTTTCACCATAGGCCTGAAAGCGCTCCAAATGTCCACATCCACATACTACAAAAAGAGTGTTTCAAACCTGCTCTATGAAAGGGAATGTTCAACTCTGTGACTTGAATGCAAACATCACAAAGAAGTTTCTGGGAATGCTGCTGTCTGCTTTTTATATGTAATCCCGTTTCCATCGAAATCCTCAAAGCTAGACAAATATCCACTTGCAGATTCCACAAAAAGAGTGTTTCAAAACTGCTCTCTCAAAAGAAAGGTTCAACTCTGTTAGCTGAGTAGATACATCATGAAAAAGTTTCTGACATTGCTTCTATGTAGCTTTTATTGGAAGATATTTCCTTTTTCACCGCAGTCCTGAGAGCGCTCCAAATGTCCACTTCCAGATACTACAAAAAGAGTGTTTCAAACCTGCTCTATGAAAGGGACTGTTCAACACTGTGACTTCAATTGAAACATCCCAATGAAGCTTCTGAGAATGCTTCTGTCTAGAGTTTATATGAAGACAATCCCGTTTCCAACGAAATCCTCAAAGCTATCCAAATATCCTCTTGCAGATATTACAAAAAGAGTGTTTCAAAACTGCTCTATCAAAAGAAAGGTTCAACACTGTTAGTTGAGGGCGCACATCACAAATAAGTTTACTGAGAATGCTGCTGTCTGCTTTTTATATGTAATCCCGTTTCCAACGAAATCCTCAAAGCTATCCAAATATCCTCTTGCAGATATTACAAAAAGAGTGTTTCAAAACTGCTCTATCAAAAGAAAGGTTCAACACTGTTAGTTGAGGGCGCACATCACAAATAAGTTTCTGAGAATGCTTCTGTCTAGTTTTCAGGGGAAGATATTTCCTTTTAAACCATAGGCCTGAAAGCGCTCCAAATGTCCACATCCAGATACTACAAAAAGAGTGTTTCAAACCTGCTCTATGAAAGGGACTGTTCAACACTGTGACTTCAATTGAAACATCCCAATGAAGCTTACTGAGAATGCTTCTGTCTAGAGTTTATATGAAGACAATCCCGTTTCCAACGAAATCCTCAAAGCCATCCAAATATCCTCTTGCAGATTTTACGAAAAGAGTGTTTCAAAACTGCTCTATCAAAAGAAAGCTTCAACACTGTTAGTTGAGGGCGCACATCACAAATAAGATTCTGAGAATGCTTCTGTCTAGTTTTCAGGGGAAGATATTTCCTTTTTCACCATAGGCCTGAAAGCGCTCCAAATGTCCACATCCAGATATTACAAAAAGAGTGTTTCAAACCTGCTCTATGAAAGGGACTGTTCAACTCTGTGACTTGAATGCAAACATCACAAAGAAGATTCTGGGAATGCTGCTGTCTGCTTTTTATATGTAATCCCGTTTCCAACGAAATCCTCAAAGCTAAGCAAATATCCACTTGCAGATTCCACAAAAAGAGTGTTTCAAAACTGCTCTCTCAAAGGAAAGGTTCAACTCTGTTAGCTGAGTAGATACATCACGAAAAAGTTTCTGACATTGCTTCTATCTAGCTTTTATTGGAAGATATTTCCTTTTTCACCGCAGTCCTGAGAGCGCTCCAAATGTCCACTTCCAGATACTACAAAAAGAGTGTTTCAAACCTGCTCTATGAAAGGGACTGTTCAACACTGTGACTTCAATTGAAACATCCCAATGAAGCTTCTGAGAATGCTGCTGTCTGCTTTGTATAATTAATCCCGTTTCCAACGAAATCCTCAAAGCTATCCAAATATCCTCTTGCAGATATTACAAAAAGAGTGTTTCAAAACTGCTCTATCAAAAGAAAGCTTCAACACTGTTAGTTGAGGGCGCACATCACAAATAAGTTTCTGAGAATGCTGCTGTCTGCTTTTTATATGTAATCCCGTTTCCAACGAAATCCTCAAAGCTAGACAAATATCCACTTGCAGATTCCACAAAAAGAGTGTTTCAAAACTGCTCTATCAAAAGAATGCTTCAACACTGTTAGTTGAAGGCGCACATCACAAATAAGTTTCTGAGAATGCTTCTGTCTAGTTTTCAGGGGAAGATATTTCCTTTTAAACCATAGGCCTGAAAGCGCTCCAAATGTCCACATCCAGATACTACAAAAAGAGTGTTTCAAACCTGCTCTATGAAAGGGACTGTTCAACACTGTGACTTCAATTGAAACATCCCAATGACGCTTCTGAGAATGCTTCTGTCTAGAGTTTATATGAAGACAATCCCGTTTCCAACGAAATCCTCAAAGCTATGCAAATATCCTCTTGCAGATTTTACAAAAAGAGTGTTTCAAAACTGCTCTATCAAAAGAAAGCTTCAACACTGTTAGTTGAGGGCGCACATCACAAATAAGATTCTGAGAATTCTTCTGTCTAGTTTTCAGGGGAAGATATTTCCTTTTTCACCATAGGCCTGAAAGCGCTCCAAATGTCCACATCCAGATACTACAAAAAGAGTGTTTCAAACCTGCTCTATGAAAGGGAATGTTCAACTCTGTGACTTGAATGCAAACATCACAAAGAAGTTTCTGGGAATGCTGCTGTCTGCTTTTTATATGTAATCCCGTTTCCAACGAAATCCTCAAATCTAGACAAATATCCACTTGCAGATTCCACAAAAATAGTGTTTCAAAACTGCTCTCTCAAAAGGAAGGTTCAACACTGTTAGCTGAGTAGATACATCATGAACAATTTTCTGACATTGCTTCTGTCTAGCTTTTATTGGAAGATATTTCCTTTTTCACCGTATTCCTGAGAACTCTCCAAATGTCCACTTCCAGATACTACAAAAAGAGCGTTTCAAACCCGCTCTATGAAAGGGACTGTTCAACACTGTGACTTCAATTGAAACATCCCAATGAAGCTGCTGAGAATGCTATCTGTCTAGAGTTTATATGAAGACAATCCCGTTTCCAACGAAATCCTCAAAGCTATCCAAATATCCTCTTGCAGATTTTACAAAAAGAGTGTTTCAAAACTGCTCTATCAAAAGAAAGCTTCAACACTGTTAATTGAGGGCGCACATCACAAATAAGATTCTGAGAATGCTTCTGTCTAGTTTTCAGGGGAAGATATTTCCTTTTTCACCATAGGCCTGAAAGCGCTCCAAATGTCCACATCCAGATACTACAAAAAGAGTGTTTCAAACCTGCTCTATGAAAGGGAATGTTCAACTCTGTGACTTGAATGCTAACTTCACAAAGAAGTTTCTGGGAATGCTGCTGTCTGCTTTTTATATGTAATCCCGTTTCCAACGAAATCCTCAAAGCTAGACAAATATCCACTTGCAGATTCCACAAAAAGAGTGTTTCAAAACTGCTCTCTCAAAGGAAAGGTTCAACTCTGTTAGCTGAGTAGATACATCATGAAAAAGTTTCTGACATTGCTTCTATCTAGCTTTTATTGGAAGATATTTCCTTTATCACCGTATTCCTGAGATCTCTCCAAATGTCCACTTCCAGATACTACAAAAAGAGTGTTTCAAACCTGCTCTATGAAAGGGACTGTTCAACACTGTGTCTTCAATTGAAACATCCCAATGAAGCTTCTGAGAATGCTTCTGTCTAGAGTTTATATGAAGACAATCCCGTTTCCAACGAAATCCTCAAAGCTATCCAAATATCCTCTTGCAGATATTACAAAAAGAGTGTTTCAAAACTGCTCTATCAAAAGAAAGGTTCAACACTGTTAGTTGAGGGCGCACATCACAAATAAGTTTACTGAGAATGCTGCTGTCTGCTTTTTATATGTAATCCCGTTTCCAACGAAATCCTCAAAGCTATCCAAATATCCTCTTGCAGATATTACAAAAAGAGTGTTTCAAAACTGCTCTATCAAAAGAAAGGTTCAACACTGTTAGTTGAGGGCGCACATCACAAATAAGTTTCTGAGAATGCTTCTGTCTAGTTTTCAGGGGAAGATATTTCCTTTTTCACCATAGGCCTGAAAGCGCTCGAAATGTCCACATCCAGATACTACAAAAAGAGTGTTTCAAACCTGCTCTATGAAAGGGACTGTTCAACACTGTGACTTCAATTGAAACATCCCCAATGAAGCTTCTGAGAATGCTTCTGTCTAGATTCTATATGAAGACAATCCCGTTTCCAACGAAAGCCTCAAAGCTATCCAAATATCCTCTTGCAGATTTTACAAAAAGAGTGTTTCAAAACTGCTCTATCAAAAGAAAGGTTCAACACTGTTAGTTGAGGGCGCACATCACAAATAAGTTTCTGAGAATGCTTCTGTCTAGTTTTCAGGGGAAGATATTTCCTTTTTCACCTTAGGCCTGAAAGCGCTGCAAATGTCCACATCCAGATACTATAAAAAGAGTGTTTCAAACCTGCTCTATGAAAGGGAATGTTCAACTCTGTGACTTGAATGCAAACAACACAAAGAAGTTTCTGGGAATTCTGCTGTCTGCTTTTTATATGTAATCCCGTTTCCAACGAAATCCTCAAAGCTAGACAAATATCCACTTGCAGATTCCACAAAACGAGTGTTTCAAATCTGCTCTCTCAAAGGAAGGTTCAACTCTGTTAGCTGAGTAGATACATCATGAAAAAGTTTCTGACATTGCTTCTATCTAGCTTTTATTGGAAGATATTTCCTTTATCACCGTATTCCTGAGATCTCTCCAAATGTCCACTTCCATATACTACAAAAAGAGTGTTTCAAACCTGCTCTATGAAAGGGACTGTTCAACACTGTGACTTCAATTGAAACATCCCAATGAAGCTTCTGAGAATGCTTCTGTCTAGAGTTTATATGAAGACAATCCCGTTTCCAACGAAATCCTCAAAGCTATCCAAATATCCTCTTGCAGATATTACAAAAAGAGTGTTTCAAAACTGCTCTATCAAAAGAAAGGTTCAACACTGTTAGTTGAGGGCGCACATCACAAATAAGTTTACTGAGAATGCTGCTGTCTGCTTTTTATATGTAATCCCGTTTCCAACGAAATCCTCAAAGCTAGACAAATATCCACTTGCAGATTCCACAAAAAGAGTGTTTCAAAACTGCTCTATCAAAAGAATGCTTCAACACTGTTAGTTGAGGGCGCACATCACAAATAAGTTTCTGAGAATGCTTCTGTCTAGTTTTCAGGGGAAGATATTTCCTTTTAAACCATAGGCCTGAAAGCGCTCCAAATGTCCACATCCAGATACTACAAAAAGAGTGTTTCAAACCTGCTCTATGAAAGGGACTGTTCAACACTGTGACTTCAATTGAAACATCCCAATGACGCTTCTGAGAATGCTTCTGTCTAGAGTTTATATGAAGACAATCCCGTTTCCAACGAAATCCTCAAAGCTATCCAAATATCCTCTTGCAGATTTTACAAAAAGAGTGTTTCAAAACTGCTCTATCAAAAGAAAGCTTCAACACTGTTAGTTGAGGGCGCACATCACAAATAAGATTCTGAGAATGCTTCTGTCTAGTTTTCAGGGGAAGATATTTCCTTTTTCACCATAGACCTGAAAGCGCTCCAAATGTCCACATCCAGATACTACAAAAAGAGTGTTTCAAACCTGCTCTATGAAAGGGAATGTTCAACTCTGTGACTTGAATGAAAACATCACAAAGAAGTTACTGTGAATGCTGCTGTCTGCTTTTTATATGTAATCCCGTTTCCAACGAAATCCTCAAAGCTAGACAAATATCCACTTGCAGATTCCACAAAAAGAGTGTTTCAAAACTGCTCTCTCAAAAGAAAGGTTCAACTCTGTTAGCTGAGTAGATACATCATGAAAAAGTTTCTGACTTTGCTTCTATCTAGCTTTTATTTGAAGATATTTCCTTTATCACCGTATTCCTGAGATCTCTCCAAATGTCCACTTCCAGATACTACAAAAAGAGTGTTTCAAACCTGCTCTATGAAAGGGACTGTTCAACACTGTGACTTCAATTGAAACATCCCAATGAAGCTTCTGAGAATGCTTCTGTCTAGAGTTTACATGAAGACAATCCCGTTTCCAACGAAATCCTCAAAGCTATCAAAATATCCTCTTGCAGATTTTACGAAAAAAGTGTTTCAAAACTGCTCTATCAAAAGAAAGCTTCAACACTGTTAGTTGAGGGCGCACATCACAAATAAGATTCTGAGAATGCTGCTGTCTGCTTTTTATATGTAATCCCGTTTCCAACGAAATCCTCAAAGCTAGACAAATATCCACTTGCAGATTCCACAAAAAGAGTGTTTCAAAACTACTCTATCAAAAGAAAGCTTCAACACTGTTAGTTGAGGGCGCACATCACAAGTAAGTTTCTGAGAATGCTTCTGTCTAGTTTTCAGGGGAAGATATTTCCTTTTTCACCTTATGCCTGAAAGCGCTGCAAATGTCCACATCCAGATACTACAAAAAGAGTGTTTCAAACCTGCTCTATCAAAGGGACTGTTCAACACTGTGACTTCAATTGAAACATCCCAATGAAGCTTCTGAGAATGCTTCTGTCTAGAGTTTATATGAAGACAATCCCGTTTCCAACGAAATCCTCAAAGCTATCAAAATATCCTCCTGCAGATTTTACGAAAAGAGTGTTTCAAAACTGCTCTATCAAAAGAAAGCTTCAACACTGTTAGTTGACGGCGCACATCACAAATAAGATTCTGAGAATGCTTCTGTCTAGTTTTCAGGGGAAGATATTTCCTTTTTCACCATAGGCCTGAAAGCGCTTCAAATGTCCACATCCAGATACTACAAAAAGAGAGTTTCAAACCTGCTCTATGAAAGGGAATGTTCAAGTCTGTGACTTAAATGCAAATATCACCAAGAAGTTTCTGGGAATGCTGCTGGCTGCTTTTTATATGTAATCCCGTTTCCAACGAAATCCTCAAAGCTAGACAAATATCCACTTGCAGATTCCACAAAAAGAGTGTTTCAAAACTGCTCTATCAAAAGAAAGCTTCAACACTGTTAGTTGAGGGGGCACATCACAAATAAGTTTCTGAGAATGCTTCTATCTAGCTTTTATTGGAAGATATTTCCCTTTTCACCGTAGTCCTGAGAACGCTCAAAATGACCATTTCCAGATGCTACAAAAAGAGTGTTTCAAACCTGCTCTATGAAAGGGACTGTTCAACACTGTGACTTCAATTGAAACATCCCAATGAAGCTTACTGAGAATGCTACTGTCTAGGGTTAATATGAAGACAATCCCGTTTCCAAAGAAATCCTCAAAGCTATCCAAATATCCTCTTGCAGATTTTACAAAAAGAATGTTTCAAAACTGCTCTATCAAAAGAAAGCTTCAACACTGTTAGTTGAGGGCGCACATCACAAATAACTTTCTGAGAATACTTCTGTCTAGTTTTCAGGGGAAGATATTTCCTTTTTCACCATAGGCCTGAAAGCGCTCCAAATGTCCACATCCAGATACTTCAAAAAGAGTGTTACAAACCTGCTCTATGAAAGGGAATGTTCAACTCTCTGACTTGAATGCAAACATCACAAAGAAGTTACTGGGAATGCTGCTGTCTGCTTTTTATATGTAATCCCGTTTCCAACGAAATCCTCAAAGCTAGACAAATATCCACTTGCAGATTCCACCAAAAGAGTGTTTCAAAACTGCTCTCTCAAAAGAAAGGTTCAACTCTGTTAGCTGAGTAGATACATCATGAAAAAGTTTCTGACATTGCTTCTATCTAGCTTTTATTGGAAGATATTTCCTTTTTCACCGTAGTCCTGAGAGCGCTCCAAATGTCCACTTCCAGATACTACAAAAAGAGTGTTTCAAACCTGCTCTATGAAAGGGAATGTTCAACTCTGTGACTTGAATGCAAACATCACAAAGAAGTTTCTGGGAATGCTGCTGTCTGCTTTTTATATGTAATCCCGTTTCAAACGCAATCCTCAAACCTAGACAAATATCCACTTGCAGATTCCACAAAAAGAGTGTTTCAAAACTGCTCTCTCAAAAGAAAGGTTCAACTCTGTTAGCTGAGTAGATACATCATGAAAAATTTTCTGACATTGCTTCTATCTAGCTTTTATTGGAAGATATTACCTTTATCACCGTATTGCTGAGATCTCTCCAAATGTCCACTTCCAGATACTACAAAAAGAGTGTTTCAAACCTGCTCTATGAAAGGGACTGTTCAACACTGTGACTTCAATTGAAACATCCCAATGAAGCTTCTGAGAATGCTTCTGTCTAGATTCTATATGAAGACAATCCCGTTTCCAACGAAATCCTCAAAGCTATCCAAATATCCTCTTGCAGATTTTACAAAAAGAGTGTTTCAAAACTGCTCTATCAAAAGAAAAGTTCCACACTGTTAGTTGAGGGCGCACATCACAAATAAGTTTGCTGAGAATGCTGCTGTCTGCTTTTTATATGTAATCCCGTTTCCAACGAAATCCTCAAAGCTAGACAAATATCCACTTGCAGATTCCACAAAAAGAGTGTTTCAAAACTGCTCTATCAAAAGAATGCTTCAACACTGTTAGTTGAGGGCGCACATCACAAATAAGTTTCTGAGAATGCTTCTGTCTAGTTTTCAGGGGAAGATATTTCCTTTTAAACCATAGGCCTGAAAGCGCTCCAAATGTCCACATCCAGATACTACAAAAAGAGTGTTTCAAACCTGCTCTATGAAAGGGACTGTTCAACACTGTGACTTCAATTGAAACATCCCAATGAAGCTTCTGAGAATGCTTCTGTCTAGAGTTTATATGAAGACAATCCCGTTTCCACCGAAATCCTCAAAGCTATCCAAATATCCTCTTGCAGATTTTACAAAAAGAGTGTTTCAAAACTGCTCTATCAAAAGAAAGCTTCAACACTGTTAGTTGAGGGCGCACATCACAAATAAGTTTCTGAGAATGCTTCTATGTAGCTTTTATTGGAAGATATTTCCTTTTTCACCATAGGCCTGAAAGCGCTCCAAATGTCCACATCCAGATACTACAAAAAAAGTGTTTCAAACCTGCTCTATGAAAGGGAGTGTTCAACTCTGTGACTTGAATGCAAACATCACAAAGAAGTTACTGGGAATGCTGCTGTCTGCTTTTTATATGTAATCCCGTTTCCAACGAAATCCTCAAAGCTAGACAAATATCCACTTGCAGATTCCACAAAAAGAGTGTTTCAAAACTGCTCTCTCAAAAGAAAGGTTCAACTCTGTTAGCTGAGTAGATACATCATGAAAAAGTTTCTGACATTGCTTCTATCTAGCTTTTATTGGAAGATATTTCCTTTATCACCGTATTCCTGAGATCTCTCCAAATGTCCACTTCCAGATACTACAAAAAGAGTGTTTCAAACCTGCTCTATGAAAGGGACTGTTCAACACTGTGACTTCAATTGAAACATCCAAATGAAGCTTCTGAGAATGCTTCTGTCTAGAGTTTATATGAAGACAATCCCGTTTCCAACGAAATCCTGAAAGCTATCCAAATATCCTCTTGCAGATTTTACGAAAAGAGTGTTTCAAAACTGCTCTATCAAAAGAAAGCTTCAACACTGTTAGTTGAGGGCGCACATCACAAATAAGATTCTGAGAATGCTTCTGTCTAGTTTTCAGGAGAAGATATTTCCTTTTTCATCATAGGCCTGAAAGCGCTCCAAATGTCCACATCCAGATACTATAAAAAGAGTGTTTCAAACCTGCTCTCTGAAAGGGAATGTTCAACTCTGTGACTTGAATGCAAACATCACAAACAAGATTCTGGGAATGCTGCTGTCTGCTTTTTATAATTAATCCCGTTTCCAACGAAATCCTCAAAGCTAGACAAATATCCACTTGCAGATTCCACAAAAAGAGTGTTTCAAAACTGCTCTATCAAAAGAATGCTTCAACACTGTTAGTTGAGGGCGCACAACACAAATAAGTTTCTGAGAATGCTTCTATCTAGCTTTTATTGGAAGATATTTCCTTTATCACCGTATTCCTGAGATCTCTCCAAATGTCCACTTCCAGATACTACAAAAAGAGTGTTTCAAACCTGCTCTATGAAAGGGACTGTTCAACACTGTGACTTCAATTGAAACATCCCAATGAAGCTTCTGAGAATGCTTCTGTCTAGAGTTTATATGAAGACAATCCCCTTTCCAACGAAATCCTCAAAGCTATCCAAATATCCTCTTGCAGATATTACAAAAAGAGTGTTTCAAAACTGCTCTATCAAAAGAAAGGTTCAACAGTGTTAGTTGAGGGCGCACATCACAAATAAGATTCTGAGAATGCTGCTGTCTGCTTTTTATATGTAATCCCCTTTCCAACGAAATCCTCAAAGCTAGACAAATATCCACTTGCAGATTCCACAAAAAGAGTGTTTCAAAACTGCTCTATCAAAAGAAAGCTTCAGACACTTGTTAGTTGAGGGCGCACATCACAAATAAGTTTCTGAGAATGCTTCTGTCTAGTTTTCAGGGGAAGATATTTCCTTTTAAACCATAGGCCTGAAAGCGCTCCAAATGTCCACATCCAGATACTACAAAAAGAGTGTTTCAAACCTGCTCTAGGAAAGGGACTGTTCAACACTGTGACTTCAATTGAAACATCCCAATGACGCTTCTGAGAATGTTTTCTGTCTAGAGTTTATATGAAGACAATCCCGTTTCCAACGAAATCCTCAAAGCTATCCAAATATCCTCTTGCAGATTTTACAAAAAGAGTGTTTCAAAACTGCTCTATCAAAAGAAAGCTTCAACACTGTTAGTTGAGGGCGCACATCACAAATAAGATTCTGAGAATGCTTATCTGTCTAGTTTTCAGTGGAAGATATTTCCTTTTTCACCATAGGCCTGAAAGCGCTCCAAATGTCCAAATCCAGATACTTCAAAAAGAGGGTTTCAAACCTGCTCTATGAAAGGGAATGTTCAACTCTGTGACTTGAATGCAAACATCACAAAGAAGTTTCTGGGAATGCTGCTGTCTGCTTTTTATATGTAATCCCGTTTCCAACGAAATCCTCAAAGCTAGACAAATATCCACTTGCAGATTCCACAAAGAGAGTGTTTCAAAACTGCTCTCTCAAAAGAAAGGTTCAACTCTGTTAGCTGAGTAGATACATCATGAAAAATTTTCTGACATTGCTTCTATGTAGCTTTTATTGGAAGATATTTCCTTTTTCACCATAGTCCTGAGAGCGCTCCAAATGTCCACTTCCAGATACTACAAAAAGAGTGTTTCAAACCTGTTCTATGAAAGGGACTGTTCAACACTGTGACTTCAATTGAAACATCCCAATGAAGCTTCTGAGAATGCTTCTGTCTAGAGTTTATATGAAGACAATCCCGTTTCCAACGAAATCCTCAAAGCTATCCAAATATCCTCTTGCAGATATTACAAAAAGAGTGTTTCAAAACTGCTCTATCAAAAGAAAGGTTCAACACTGTTAGTTGAGGGCGCACATCACAAATAAGTTTACTGAGAATGCTGCTGTCTGCTTTTTATATGTAATCCCGTTTCCAACGAAATCCTCAAAGCTAGACAAATATCCACTTGCAGATTCCACAAAAAGAGTGTTTCAAAACTGCTCTATCAAAAGAATGCTTCAACACTGTTAGTTGAGGGCGCACATCACAAATAAGTTTCTGAGAATGCTTCTGTCTAGTTTTCAGGGGAAGATATTTCCTTTTAAACCTTAGGCCTGAAAGCGCTCCAAATGTCCACATCCAGATACTACAAAAAGAGTGTTTCAAACGTGCTCTATGAAAGGGACTGTTCAACACTGTGACTTCAATTGAAACATCCCAATGAAGCTTCTGAGAATGCTTCTGTCTAGAGTTTATATGAAGACAATCCCGTTTCCAACGAAATCCTCAAAGCTATCAAAATATCCTCTTGCAGATTTTACGAAAAGAGTGTTTCAAAACTGCTCTATCAAAAGAAAGCTTCAACACTGTTAGTTGAGGGCGCACATCACAAATAAGATTCTGAGAATGCTTCTGTCTAGTTTTCAGGGGAAGATATTTCCTTTTTCACCTTAGGCCTGAAAGCGCTGCAAATGTCCACATCCAGATGCTACAAAAAGAGTGTTTCAAACCTGCTCTATGAAAGGGAATGTTCAACTCTGTGACTTGAATGCAAACAACACAAAGAAGTTTCTGGGAATGCTGCTGTCTGCTTTTTATATGTAATCCCGTTTCCAACGAAATCCTCAAAACTAGACAAATATCCACTTGCAGATTCCACAAAAAGAGTGTTTCAAAACTGCTCTCTCAAAAGAAAGGTTCAACTCTGTTAGCTGAGTAGGTACATCATGAAAAAGTTTCTGACATTGCTTCTATCTAGCTTTTATTGGAAGATATTTCCTTTATCACCGTATTCCTGAGATCTCTCCAAATGTCCACTTCCAGATACTACAAAAAGAGTGTTTCAAACCTGCTCTATGAAAGGGACTGTTCAACACTGTGACTTCAATTGAAACATCCCAATGAAGCTTCTGAGAATGCTTCTGTCTAGAGTTTATATGAAGACAATCCCGTTTCCAACGAAATCCTCAAAGCTATCCAAATATCCTCTTGCAGATATTACAAAAAGAGTGTTTCAAAACTGCTCTATCAAAAGAAAGCTTCAAGACTGTTAGTTGAGGGCGCACATCACAAATAAGTTTCTGAGAATGCTGCTGTCTGCTTTTTATATGTAATCCCGTTTCCAACGAAATCCTCAAAGCTAGACAAATATCCACTTGCAGATTCCACAAAAAGAGTGTTTCAAAACTGCTCTATCAAAAGAAAGCTTCAACACTGTTAGTTGAGGGCGCACATCACAAATAAGTTTCTGAGAATGCTTCTGTCTAGTTTTCAGGGGAAGATATTTCCTTTTTCACCTTATGCCTGAAAGCGCTCCAAATGTCCACATCCAGATTCTACAAAAAGAGTGTTTCAAACCTGCTCTATGAAAGGGACTGTTCAACACTGTGACTTCAATTGAAACATCCCAATGAAGCTTCTGAGAATGCTTCTGTCTAGAGTTTATATGAAGACAATCCCGTTTCCAATTAAATCCTCAAAGCTATCCAAATATCCTCTTGCAGATTTCACAAAAAGAGTGTTTCAAAACTGCTCTATCAAAAGAAAGCTTCAACACTGTTAGTTGAGGGTGCACATCACAAATAAGATTCTGAGAATGCTTCTGTCTAGTTTTCAGGGGAAGATATTTCCTTTTTCACCTTAGGCCTGAAAGCGCTGCAAATGTCCACATCCAGATACTACAAAAAGAGTGTTTCAAACCTGCTCTATGAAAGGGAATGTTCAACTCTGTGACTTGAATGCAAACATCACAAAGAAGTTTCTGGGAATGCTGCTGTCTGCTTTTTATATGTAATCCCGTTTCCAACGAAATCCTCAAATCTAGACAAATATCCACTTGCAGATTCCACAAAAAGAGTGTTTCAAAACTGCTCTCTCAAAAGAAAGGTTCAACTCTGTTAGCTGAGTAGATACATCATGAAAAAGTTTCTGAGATTGCTTCTATGTAGCTTTTATTGGAAGATATTTCCTTTTTCACCATAGTCCTGAGAGCGCTCCAAATGTCCACTTCCAGATACTACAAAAAGAGTGTTTCAAACCTGTTCTATGAAAGGAACTGTTCAACACTGTGACTTCAATTGAAACATCCCAAAGAAGCTTCTGAGAATGCTGCTGTCTGCTTTGTATAATTAATCCCGTTTCCAACGAAATCCTCAAAGCTATCCAAATATCCTCTTGCAGATATTACAAAAAGAGTGTTTCAAAACTGCTCTATCAAAAGAAAGCTTCAACACTGTTAGTTGAGGGCGCACATCACAAATAAGTTTCTGAGAATGCTGCTGTCTGCTTTTTATATGTAATCCCGTTTCCAACGAAATCCTCAAAGCTAGACAAATATCCACTTGCAGATTCCACAAAAAGAGTGTTTCAAAACAGCTCTATCAAAAGAATGCTTCAACACTGTTAGTTGAAGGCGCACATCACAAATAAGTTTCTGAGAATGCTTCTGTCTAGTTTTCAGGGGAAGATATTTCCTTTTTCACCTTATGCCTGAAAGCGCTGCAAATGTCCACATCCAGATACTACAAAAACAGTGTTTCAAACCTGCTCTATCAAAGGGACTGTTCAACACTGTGACTTCAATTGAAACATCCCAATGAAGCTTCTGAGAATGCTTCTGTCTAGATTGTATATGAAGACAATCCCGTTTCCAACGAAATCCTCAAAGCTATCCAAATATCCTCTTGCAGATTTTACAAAAAGAGTGTTTCAAAACTGCTCTATCAAAAGAAAGCTTCAACACTGTTAGTTGAGGGCGCACATCACAAATACGTTTCTGAAAATGCTTCTGTCTAGTTTTCAGGGGAAGATATTTCCTTTTTCACCATAGGCCTGAAAGCGCTCCAAATGTCCACATCCAGATACTACAAAAACAGAGTTTCAAACCTGCTCTATGAAAGGGAATGTTCAACTCTGGAACTTGAAGGCAAATATCACAAAGAAGTTTCTGGGAATGCTGCTGTCTGCTTTTTATATGTAATCCCGTTTCCAACGAAATCCTCAAAGCTAGACAAATATCCACTTGCAGATTCCACCAAAAGAGTGTTTCAAAACTGCTGTCTCAAAAGAAAGGTTCAACTCTGTTAGCTGAGTAGATACATCATGAACAATTTTCTGACATTGCTTCTATCTAGCTTTTATTGGAAGATATTTCCTTTATCACCGTATTCCTGAGATCTCTCCAAATGTCCATTTCCAGATACTACAAAAAGAGTGTTTCAAACCTGCTCTATGAAAGGGACTGTTCAACACTGCGACTTCAATTGAAACATCCCAATGAAGCTTCTGAGAATGCTTCTGTCTAGAGTTTATATGAAGACAATCCCGTTTCCAACGAAATCCTCAAAGCTATCCAAATATCCTCTTGCAGATATTACAAAAAGAGTGTTTCAAAACTGCTCTATCAAAAGAAAGGTTCAACACTGTTAGTTGAGGGCGCACATCACAAATAAGTTTACTGAGAATGCTGCTGTCTGCTTTTTATATGTAATCCCGTTTCCAACGAAATCCTCAAAGCTATCCAAATATCCTCTTGCAGATATTACAAAAAGAGTGTTTCAAAACTGCTCTATCAAAAGAAAGGTTCAACACTGTTAGTTGAGGGCGCACATCACAAATAAGTTTCTGAGAATGCTTCTGTCTAATTTTCAGGGGAAGATATTTCCTTTTAAACCATAGGCCTGAAAGCGCTCCAAATGTCCACATCCAGATACTACAAAAAGAGTGTTTCAAACCTGCTCTATGAAAGGGACTGTTCAACACTGTGACTTCAATTGAAACATCCCAATGACGCTTCTGAGAATGCTTCTGTCTAGATTTTATATGAAGACAATCCCGTTTCCAACGAAATCCTCAAAGCTATCCAAATATCCTCTTGCAGATTTTACAAAAAGAGTGTTTGAAAACTGCTCTATCAAAAGAAAGCTTCAACACTGTTAGTTGAGGGCGCACATCACAAATAAGTTTCTGAGAATGCTTCTGTCTAGTTTTCAGGAGAAGATATTTCCTTTTTCACCACAGGCCTGAAAGCGCTCCAAATGTCCACATCCAGATACTATAAAAAGAGTGTTTCAAACCTGCTCTATGAAAGGGAATGTTCAACTCTGTGACTTGAATGCAAACATCACAAAGAAGATTCTGGGAATGCTGCTGTCTGCTTTTTATATGTAATCCCGTTTCCAACGAAATCCTCAAAGCTAGACAAATATCCACTTGCAGATTCCACAAAAAGAGTGTTTCAAAACTGCTCTCTCAAAAGAAAGGTTCAACTCTGTTAGCTGAGTAGATACATCATGAAAAAGTTTCTGACATTGCTTCTATGTAGCTTTTATTGGAAGATATTTCCTTTTTCACCGTAGTCCTGAGAGCGCTCCAAATGTCCACTTCCAGATACTACAAAAAGAGTGTTTCAAACCTGCTCTATGAAAGGGACTGTTCAACACTGTGACTTCAATTGAAACATCCCAATGAAGCTTCTGAGAATGCTTCTGTCTAGAGTTTATATGAAGACAATCCCGTTTCCAACGAAATCCTCAAAGCTATCCAAATATCCTCTTGCAGATATTACAAAAAGAGTGTTTCAAAACTGCTCTATCAAAAGAAAGGTTCAACACTGTTAGTTGAGGGCGCACATCACAAATAAGTTTACTGAGAATGCTGCTGTCTGCTTTTTATAATTAATCCCGTTTCCAACGAAATCCTCAAAGCTATCCAAATATCCTCTTGCAGATATTACAAAAAGAGTGTTTCAAAACTGCTCTATCAAAAGAAAGCTTCAACACTGTTAGTTGAGGGCGCACATCACAAATAAGTTTCTGAGAATGCTTCTGTCTAGTTTTCAGGGGAAGATATTTCCTTTTAAACCATAGGCCTGAAAGGCTCCAAATGTCCACATCCAGATACTACAAAAAGAGTGTTTCAAACCTGCTCTATGAAAGGGACTGTTCAACACTGTGACTTCAATTGAAACATCCCAATGAAGCTTCTGAGAATGCTTCTGTCTAGAGTTTATATGAAGACAATCCCGTTTCCAAAGAAATCCTCAAAGCTATCCAAATATCCTCTAGCAGATTTTACAAAAAGAGTGTTTCAAAACTGCTCTATCAAAAGAAAGCTTCAACACTGTTAGTTGAGGGTGCACATCACAAATAAAATTCTGAGAATGCTTCTGTCTAGTTTTCAGGGGAAGATATTTCCTTTTTCACCATAGGCCTGAAAGCGCTCCAAATGTCCACATCCAGATACTTCAAAAAGAGTGTTTCAATCCTGCTCTATGAAAGGGAATGTTCAACTCTGTGACTTGAATGCAAACATCACAAAGAAGTTACTGGGAATGCTGCTGTCTGCTTTTTATATGTAATCCCGTTTCCAACGAAATCCTCAAAGCTAGACAAATATCCACTTGCAGATTCCACAAAAAGAGTGTTTCAAAACTGCTCTCTCAAAAGAAAGGTTCAACTCTGTTAGCTGAGTAGATACATCATGAAAAAGTTTCTGACATTGCTTCTATGTAGCTTTTATTAGAAGATATTTCCTTTTTCACCGGAGTCCTGAGAGCGCTCCAAATGTCCACTTCCAGATACTACAAAAAGAGTGTTTCAAACCTGCTCTATGAAAGGGACTGTTCAACACTGTGACTTCAATTGAAACATCCCAATGAAGCTTCTGAGAATGCTTCTTTCTAGAGTTTATATGAAGACAATCCCGTTTCCAACGAAATCCTCAAAGCTATCCAAATATTCTCTTGCAGATATTACAAAAAGAGTGTTTCAAAACTGCTCTATCAAAATAAAGCTTCAACACTGTTAGTTGAGGGCGCACATCACAAATAAGTTTCTGAGAATGCTGCTGTCTGCTTTTTATATGTAATCCCGTTTCCAACGAAATCCTCAAAGCTAGACAAATATCCACTTGCAGATTCCACAAAAAGAGTGTTTCAAAACTGCTCTATCAAAAGAAAGCTTCAACACTGTTAGTTGAGGGCGCACATCACAAATAAGTTTCTGAGAATGCTTCTGTCTAGTTTTCAGGGGAAGATATTTCCTTTTTCACCATAGGCCTGAAAGCGCTCCAAATGTCCACATCCAGATACTACAAAAAGAGTGTTTCAAACCTGCTCTATGAAAGGGACTGTTCAACACTGTGACTTCAATTGAAACATCCCAATGAAGCTTCTGAGAATGCTTCTGTCTAGAGTTTATATGAAGACAATCCCGTTTCCAACGAAATCCTCAAAGCTATCCAAATATCCTCTTGCAGATATTACAAAAAGAGTGTTTCAAAACTGCTCTATCAAAAGAAAGGTTCAACACTGTTAGTTGAGGGCGCACATCACAAATAAGTTTCTGAGAATGCTTCTGTCTAGTTTTCAGGGGAAGATATTTCCTTTTTCACCATAGGCCTGAAAGCGCTCCAAATGTCCACATACAGATACTGCAAAAAGAGTGTTTCAAACCTGCTCTATGAAAGGGAATGTTCAGCTGTGTGACTTGAATGCAAACATCACAAAGAAGTTTCTGGGAATGCTGCTGTCTGCTTTTTATATGTAATCCCGTTTCCAACGAAATCCTCAAGCTAGACAAATATCCACTTGCAGATTCCACAAAAAGAGTGTTTCAAAACTGCTCTCTCAAAAGAAAGGTTCAACTCTGTTAGCTGAGTAGATACGTCATGAAAAAGTTTCTGACATTGCTTCTATCTAGCTTTTATTGGAAGATATTTCCTTTTTCACCGTAGTCCTGAGAGCGCTCCAAATGTCCACTTCCAGATACTACAAAAAGAGTGTTTCAAACCTGCTCTATGAAAGGGACTGTTCAACACTGTGACTTCAATTGAAACATCCCAATGAAGGTTCTGAGAATGCTGCTGTCTGCTTTGTATAATTAATCCCGTTTCCAACGAAATCCTCAAAGCTATCCAAATATCCTCTTGCAGATATTACAAAAAGAGTGTTTCAAAACTGCTCTATCAAAAGAAAGCTTCAACACTGTTAGTTGAGGGCGCACATCACAAATAAGTTTCTGAGAATGCTTCTGTCTAGGTTTTGTATGGACATATTCCCGTTTCCAACGAAATCCTCTAGGCTATCCAAATATCCACTTGCAGATTCTACAAAAAGAGTGTTTCAAAACTGCTCTATCAAAAGAAATGTTCAACACTGTTACTTGAGGGCGCACATCAAAATAAGTTTCTGAGAATGCTTCTCTCTAGTTTTCAGGGGAAGATATTTCCTTTTTCACCATAGGCCTGAAAGCGCTCCAAATGTCCACATCCAGATACTACAAAAAGAGTGTTTCAAACCTGCTCTATGAAAGGGACTGTTCAACACTGTGACTTCAATTGAAACATCCCAATGAAGCTTCTGAGAATGCTTCTGTCTAGAGTTTATATGAAGACAATCCCGTTTCCAACGAAATCCTCAAAGCTATCCAAATATCCTCTTGCAGATTTTACAAAAAGAGTGTTTCAAAACTGCTCTATCAAAAGAAAGCTTCAACACTGTTAGTTGAGGGCGCACATCACAAATAAGATTCTGAGAATGCTTCTGTCTAGTTTTCAGGGGAAGATATTTCCTTTTTCACCATTGGCCTGAAAGCGCTCCAAATGTCCACATCCAGATACTACAAAAAGAGTGTTTCAAACCTGCTCTATGAAAAGGAATGTTCAACTCTGTGACGTGAATGCAAACATCACAAAGAAGTTTCTGGGAATGCTGCTGTCTGCTTTTTATATGTAATCCCGTTTCCAACGAAATCCTCAAAGCTAGACAAATATCCACTTGCAGATTCCACAAAAAGAGTGTTTCAAAACTGCTCTCTCAAAGGAAAGGTTCAACTCTGTTAGCTGAGTAGATACATCATGAAAAAGTTTCTGACATTGCTTCTATGCAGCTTTTATTGGAAGATATTTCCTTTTTCACCGCAGTCCTGAGAGCGCTCCAAATGTCCACTTCCAGATACTACAAAAAGAGTGTTTCAAACCTGCTCTATGAAAGGGACTGTTAAACACTGTGACTTCAATTGAAACATCCCAATGAAGCTTCTGAGAATGCTTATGTCTAGAGTTTATATGAAGACAATCCCGTTTCCAACGAAATCCTGAAAGCTATCCAAATATCCTCTTGCAGATATTACAAAAAGAGTGTTTCAAAACTGCTCTATCAAAAGAAAGCTTCAACACTGTTAGTTGAGGGCGCCCATCACAAATAAGTTTCGGAGAATGCTTAGCTGTCTGCTTTTTATATGTAATCCCGTTTCCAACGAAATCCTCAAAGCTAGACAAATATCCACTTGCAGATTCCACAAAAAGAGTGTTTCAAAACTGCTCTATCAAAAGAATGCTTCAACACTGTTAGTTGAGGGCGCACATCACAAATAAGTTTCTGAGAATGCTTCTGTGTAGTTTTCAGGGGAAGATATTTCCTTTTTCACCATAGGCCTGAAAGCGCTCCAAATGTCCACATCCAGATACTACAAAAAGAGTGTTTCAAACCTGCTCTATGAAAGGGACTGTTCAACACTGTGACTTCAATTGAAACATCCCAATGAAGCTTCTGAGAATGCTTCTGTCTAGAGTTTATATGAAGACAATCCCGTTTCCAACGAAATCCTCAAAGCTATCCAAATATCCTCTTGCAGATAATACAAAAAGAGTGTTTCAAAACTGCTCTATCAAAAGAAAGGTTCAACAGTGTTAGTTGAGGGCGCACATCACAAATAAGTTTCTGAGAATGCTTCTGTCTAGTTTTCAGGGGAAGATATTTCCTTTTTCACCATAGACCTGAAAGCGCTCCAAATGTCCACATCCAGATACTACAAAAAGAGTGTTTCAAACCTGCTCTATGAAAGGGAATGTTCAACTGTGTGACTTGAATGCAAACATCACAAAGAAGTTTCTGGGAATGCTGCTGTCTGCTTTTTATATGTAATCCCGTTTCCAACGAAATCCTCAAAGCTGGAAAAATATCCACTTGCAGATTCCACAAAAAGAGTGTTTCAATACTGCTCTCTCAAAAGAAAGGTTCAACTCTGTTAGCTGAGTAGATACATCATGAAAAAGTTTCTGACATTGCTTCTATGTAGCTTTTATTGGAAGATATTTCCTTTTTCACCATAGTCCTGAGAGCGCTCCAAATGTCCACTTCCAGATACTACAAAAAGAGTGTTTCAAACCTGTTCTATGAAAGGAAATGTTCAACACTGTGACTTCAATTGAAACATCCCAAAGAAGCTTCTGAGAATGCTTCTTTCTAGAGTTTATATGAAGACAATCCCGTTTCCAACGAAATCCTCAAAGCTATCCAAATATTCTCTTGCAGATATTACAAAAAGAGTGTTTCAAAACTGCTCTATCAAAATAAAGCTTCAACACTGTTAGTTGAGGGCGCACATCACAAATAAGTTTCTGAGAATGCTGCTGTCTGCTTTTTATATGTAATCCCGTTTCCAACGAAATCCTCAAAGCTAGACAAATATCCACTTGCAGATTCCACAAAAAGAGTGTTTCAAAACTGCTCTATCCAAAGAATGCTTCAACACTGTTAGTTGAGGGCGCACATCACAAATAAGTTTCTGAGAATGCTTCTGTCTAGTTTTCAGGGGAAGATATTTCCTTTTAAACCATAGGCCTGCAAACGCTCTAAATGTCCACATCCAGATACTACAAAAAGAGTGTTTCAAACCTGCTCTATGAAAGGGACTGTTCAACACTGTGACTTCAATTGAAACATCCCAATGAAGCTTCTGAGAATTCTTCTGACTAGAGTTTATATGAAGACAATCCCGTTTCCAACGAAATCCTCAAAGCTATCCAAATATCCTCTTGCAGATTTTACAAAAAGAGTGTTTCAAAACTGCTCTATCAAAAGAAAGCTTCAACACTGTTAGTTGAGGGCGCACATCACAAATAAGATTCTGAGAATGCTTCTGTCTAGTTTTCAGGGGAAGATATTTCCTTTTTCACCATAGGCCTGAAAGCGCTCCAAATGTCCACATCCAGATACTACAAAAAGAGTGTTTCAAACCTGCTCTATGAAAGGGAATGTTCAACTGTGTGACTTGAATGCAAACATCACAAAGAAGTTTCTGGGAATGCTGCTGTCTGCTTTTTATATGTAATCCCGTTTCCAACGAAATCCTCAAAGCTAGACAAATATCCACTTGCAGATTCCACAAAAAGAGTGTTTCAAAACTGCTCTTTCAAAAGAAAGGTTCAACTCTTTTAGCTGAGTACATACATCATGAAAAAGTTTCTGACATTGCTTCTATCTAGCTTTTATTGGAAGATATTTCCTTTATCACCGTATTCCTGAGATCTCTCCAAATGTCCACTTCCAGATACTACAAAAAGAGTGTTTCAAACCTGCTCTATGAAAGGGACTGTTCAACACTGTGACTTCAATTGAAACATCCCAATGAAGCTTCTGAGAATGCTTATGTCTAGAGTTTATATGAAGACAATCCCGTTTCCAACGAAATCCTGAAAGCTATCCAAATATCCTCTTGCAGATATTACAAAAAGAGTGTTTCAAAACTGCTCTATCAAAAGAAAGCTTCAACACTGTTAGTTGAGGGCGCCCATCACAAATAAGTTTCGGAGAATGCTTAGCTGTCTGCTTTTCATATGTAATCCCGTTTCCAACGAAATCCTCAAAGCTAGACAAATATCCACTTGCAGATTCCACAAAAAGAGTGTTTCAAAACTGCTCTATCAAAAGAATGCTTCAACACTGTTAGTTGAGGGCGCACATCACAAATAAGTTTCTGAGAATGCTTCTGTCTAGTTTTCAGGGGAAGATATTTCCTTTTTTACCATAGGCCTGAAAGCGCTCCAAATGTCCACATCCAGATACTACAAAAAGAGTGTTTCAAACCTGCTCTATGAAAGGGACTGTTCAACACTGTGACTTCAATTGAAACATCCCAATGAAGCATCTGAGAATGCTTCTGTCTAGAGTTTATATGAAGACAATCCCGTTTCCAACGAAATCCTCAAAGCTATCCAAATATCCTCTTGCAGATATTACAAAAAGAGTGTTTCAAAACTGCTCTATCAAAAGAAAGCTTCAACACTGTTAGTTGAGGGCGCACATCACAAATAAGTTTCTGAGAATGCTTCTGTCTAGTTTTCAGGAGAAGATATTTCCTTTTTCACCATAGGCCTGAAAGCGCTCCAAATGTCCACATCCAGATACTATAAAAAGAGTGTTTCAAACCTGCTCTCTGAAAGGGAATGTTGAACTCTGTGACTTGAATGCAAAGATCACAAACAAGATTCTGGGAATGCTGCTGTCTGCTTTTTATATGTAATCCCGTTTCCAACGAAATCCTCAAAGCTAGACAAATATCCACTTGCAGATTCCACAAAAAGAGTGTTTCAAAACTGCTCTCTCAAAGGAAGGTTCAACTCTGTTAGCTGAGTAGATACATCATGAAAAAGTTTCTGACATTGTTTCTATGTAGCTTGTATTGGAAGATATTTCCTTTTTCACCGCAGTCCTGAGAGCGCTCCAAATGTCCACTTCCAGATACTACAAAAAGAGTGTTTCAAACCTGCTCTATGAAAGGGACTGTTGAACACTGTGACTTCAACTGAAACATCCCAATGAAGCTTCTGAGAATGCTTCTGTCTAGAGTTTATATGAAGACAATCCCGTTTCCAACGAAATCCTCAAAGCTATCCAAATATCCTCTTGCAGATATTACAAAAAGAGTGTTTCAAAACTGCTCTATCAAAAGAAAGGTTCAACACTGTTAGTTGAGGGCGCACATCACAAATAAGTTTACTGAGAATGCTGCTGTCTGCTTTTTATAATTAATCCCGTTTCCAACGAAATCCTCAAAGCTATCCAAATATTCTCTTGCAGATATTACAAAAAGAGTGTTTCAAAACTGCTCTATCAAAAGAAAGCTTCAACACTGTTAGTTGAGGGCGCACATCACAAATAAGTTTCTGAGAATGCTTCTGTCTAGTTTTCAGGGGAAGATATTTCCTTTTTCACCATAGGCCTGAAAGCGCTCCAAATGTCCACATCCAGATACTACAAAAAGAGTGTTACAAACCTGCTCTATGAAAGGGAATGTTCAACTCTGTGACGTGAATGCAAACATCACAAAGAAGTTTCTGGGAATGCTTCTGTCTAGAGTTTATATGAAGACAATCCCGTTTCCAACGAAATCCTCAAAGCTATCCAAATATCCTCTTGCAGATATTACAAAAAGAGTGTTTCAAAACTGCTCTATCAAAAGAAAGCTTCAACACTGTTAGTTGAGGGCGCACATCACAAATAAGTTTCTGAGAATGCTTCTGTCTAGTTTTCAGGGGAAGATATTTCCTTTTTCACCTTAGGCCTGAAAGCGCTGCAAATGTCCACATCAAGATACTACAAAAAGAGTGTTTCAAACCTGCTCTATGAAAGGGAATGTTCAACTCTGTGACTTGAATGCAAACATCACAAAGAAGTTTCTGGGAATGCTGCTGTCTGCTTTTTATATGTAATCCCGTTTCCAACGAAATCCTCAAAGCTAGACAAATATCCACTTGCAGATTCCACAAAAAGAGTGTTTCAAAACTGCTCTCTCAAAGGAAAGGTTCAACTCTGTTAGCTGAGTAGATACATCATGAAAAAGTTTCTGACATTGCTTCTATGTAGCTTTTATTGGAAGATATTTCCTTTTTCACCGCAGTCCTGAGAGCGCTCCAAATGTCCACTTCCAGATACTACAAAAAGAGTGTTTCAAACCTGCTCTATGAAACGGACTGTTCAACACTGTGACTTCAACTGAAACATCCCAATGAAGCTTCTGAGAATGCTGCTGTCTGCTTTGTATAATTAATCCCGTTTCCAACGAAATCCTCAAAGCTATCCAAATATCCTCTTGCAGATATTACAAAAAGAGTGTTTCAAAACTGCTCTATCAAAAGAAAGCTTCAACACTGTTAGTTGAGGGCGCACATCACAAATAAGTTTCTGAGAATGCTGCTGTCTGCTTTTTATATGTAATCCCGTTTCCAACGAAATCCTCAAAGCTAGACAAATATCCTCTTGCAGATTCCACAAAAAGAGTGTTTCAAAACTGCTCTATCAAAAGAAAGCTTCAACACTGTTAGTTGAGGGCGCACATCACAAATAAGTTTCTGAGAATGCTTCTGTCTAGTTTTCAGGGGAAGATATTTCCTTTTTCACCTTATGCCTGAAAGCGCTGCAAATGTCCACATCCAGATACTACAAAAAGAGTGTTTCAAACCTGCTCTATCAAAGGGACTGTTCAACACTGTGACTTCAATTGAAACATCCCAATGAAGCTTCTGAGAATGCTTCTGTCTAGAGTTTATATGAAGACAATCCCGTTTCCAACGAAATCCTCAAAGCTATCCTAATATCCTCTTACAGATTTTACAAAAAGAGTGTTTCAAAACTGCTCTATCAAAAAAAAGCTTCAACACTGTTAGTTGAGGGCGCACATCACAAATAAGATTCTGAGAATGCTTCTGTCTAGTTTTCAGGGGAAGATATTTCCTTTTTCACCATAGGCCTGAAAGCGCTCCAAATGTCCACATCCAGATACTACAAAAAGAGTGTTTCAAACCTGCTCTATGAAAGGGAATGTTCAACTCTGTGACTTGAATGCAAACATCACAAAGAAGTTTCTGGGAATGCTGCTGTCTGCTTTTTATATGTAATCCCGTTTTCAACGAAATCCTCAAAGCTAGACAAATATCCACTTGCAGATTCCACAAAAAGAGTGTTTCAAAACTGCTCTCTCAAAAGAAAGGTTCAACTCTGTTAGCTGAGTAGATACATCATGAAAAAGTTTCTGACATTGCTTCTATCTAGCTTTTATTGGAAGATATTTCCTTTTTCACCGTAGTCCTGAGAGCGCTCAAAATGTCCACTTCCAGATACTACAAAAAGAGTGTTTCAAACCTGCTATATGAAAGGGACTGTTCAACACTGTGACTTCAATTGAAACATCACAATGAAGCTTCTGAGAATGCTTCTGTCTAGATTCTGTATGAAGACAATCCCGTTTCCAACGAAATCCTCAAAACTATCCAAATATCCTCTTGCAGATTTTACAAAAAGAGTGTTTCAAAACTGCTCTATCAAAAGAAAGCTTCAACACTGTTAGTTGAGGGCGCACATCACAAATAAGATTCTGAGAATGCTGCTGTCTGCTTTTTATATGTAATCCCGTTTCCAACGAAATCCTCAAAGCTAGACAAATATCCTCTTGCAGATTCCATAAAAAGAGTGTTTCAAAACTGCTCTATCAAAAGAAAGCTTCAACACTGTTAGATGAGGGCGCACATCACAAATAAGTTTCTGAGAATGCTTCTGTCTAGTTTTCAGGGGAAGATATGTCCTTTTAAACCATAGGCCTGAAAGCGCTCCAAATGTCCACATCCAGATACTACAAAAAGAGTGTTTCAAACCTGCTCTATGAAAGGGACTGTTCAACACTGTGACTTCAATTGAAACATCCCAATGACGCTTCTGAGAATGCTTCTGTCTAGAGTTTATATGAAGACAATCCCGTTTCCAAAGGAAATCCTCAAAGCTATCCAAATCTCCTCTTGCAGATTTTATAAAAAGAGTGTTTCAAAACTGCTCTATCAAAAGAAAGCTTCAACACTGTTAGTTGAGGGCGCACATAACAAATAACATTCTGAGAATGCTTCTATCTAGCTTTTATTGGAAGATATTTCCTTTTTCACCGTAGTCCTGAGAACCCTACAAATGTCCACTTCCAGATACTACAAAAAGAGTGTTTCAAACCTGCTCTATGAAAGGGAATGTTCAAGTCTGTGACTTGAATGCAAATTTCACAAAGAACTTTCTGGGAATGCTGCTCTCTGCTTTTTATATGTAATCCCGTTTCCAACGCAATCCTCAAAGCTAGACAAGTATCCACTTGCAAATTCCACAAAAAGAGTGTTTCAAAACGGCTCTCTCAAAAGAATGGTTCAACTCTGCTAGCTGAGTAGATACATCATGAAAAACTTTCTGACATTGCTTCTATGTAGCTTTTATTGGAAGATATTTCCTTTTTCACCATAGTCCTGAGAGCGCTCCAAATGTCCACTTCCAGATACTACAAAAAGAGTGTTTCAAACCTGTTCTATGAAAGGAACTGTTCAACACTGTGACTTCAATTGAAACATCCCAATGAAGCTTCTGAGAATGCTTCTGTCTAGAGTTTATATGAAGACAATCCCGTTTCCAATGAAATCCTCAAAGCTATCCAAATATCCTCTTGCAGATATTACAAAAAGAGTGTTTCAAAACTGCTCTATCAAAAGAAAGCTTCAACACTGTTAGTTGAGGGCGCACATCACAAATAAGTTTCTGAGAATGCTTCTGTCTAGTTTTCAGGGGAAGATACTTCCTTTTTCACCTTAGGCCTGAAAGCGCTGCAAATGTCCACATCCAGATACTACAAAAAGAGTGTTTCAAACCTGCTCTATGAAAGGGACTGTTCAACACTGTGACTTCAATTGAAACATCCCAATGAAGCTTCTGAGAATGCTTCTGTCTAGAGTTTATATGAAGACAATCCCGTTTCCAACGAAATCCTCAAAGCTATCCAAATATCCTCTTGCAGATTTTACAAAAAGAGCGTTTCAAAACTGCTCTATCAAAAGAAAGCTTCAACACTGTTAGTTGAGGGCGCACATCACAAATAAGATTCTGAGAATGCTTCTGTCTAGTTTTCAGGGGAAGATATTTCCTTTTTCACCATAGGCCTGAAAGCGCTCCAAATGTCCACATACAGATACTACAAAAAGAGTGTTTCAAACCTGCTCTATGAAAGGGAATGTTCAACTCTGTGACTTCAATGCAAACTTCACAAAGAAGTTTCTGTTAATGCTGCTGTCTGCTTTTTATATGTAATCCCGTTTCCAACGAAATCCTCAAAGCTAGACAAATATCCACTTGCAGATTCCACAAAAAGAGTGTTTCAAAACTGCTCTCTCAAAAGAAAGGTTCAACTCTGTTAGCTGAGTAGATACGTCATGAAAAAGTTTCTGACATTGCTTCTATCTAGCTTTTATTGGAAGATATTTCCTTTTTGACCATATTCCTGAGAACTCTCCAAATGTCCACTTCCAGATACTACAAAAAGAGTGTTTCAAACCTGCTCTATGAAAGGGACTGTTCAACACTGTGACTTCAATTGCAACATCCCAATGAAGCTTCTGAGAATGCTTATGTCTAGAGTTTATATGAAGACAATCCCGTTTCCAACGAAATCCTGAAAGCTATCCAAATATCCTCTTGCAGATATTACAAAAAGAGTGTTTCAAAACTGCTCTATCAAAAGAAAGCTTCAACACTGTTAGTTGAGGGCGCCCATCACAAATAAGTTTCGGAGAATGCTTAGCTGTCTGCTTTTTATAATTAATCCCGTTTCCAACGAAATCCTCAAAGCTATCCAAATATCCTCTTGCAGATATTACAAAAAGAGTGTTTCAAAACTGCTCTATCAAAAGAAAGCTTCAACACTGTTAGTTGAGGGCGCACATCACAAATAAGTTTCTGAGAATGCTTCTGTCTAGTTTTCAGGGGAAGATATTTCCTTTTTCACCATAGGCCTGAAAGCGCTCCAAATGTCCACATCCAGATACTACAAAAAGAGTGTTTCAAACCTGCTCTATGAAAGGGACTGTTCAACACTGTGACTTCAATTGAAACATCCCAATGAAGCTTCTGAGAATGCTTCTGTCTAGAGTTTATATGAAGACAATCCCGTTTCCAACGAAATCCTCAAAGCTATCCAAATATCCTCTTGCAGATTTTACAAAAAGAGTGTTTCAAAACTGCTCTATCAAAAGAAAGCTTCAAGACTGTTAGTTGAGGGCGCACATCACAAATAAGATTCTGAGAATTCTTCTGTCTAGTTTTCAGGGGAAGATATTTCCTTTTTCACCATAGGCCTGAAAGCGCTCCAAATGTCCACATCCAGATACTACAAAAAGAGTGTTTCAAACCTGCTCTATGAAAGGGAATGTTCAACTCTGTGACTTGAATGCAAACATCACAAAGAAGTTACTGGGAATGCTGCTGTCTGCTTTTTACATGTAATCCCGTTTCCAACGAAATCCTCAAAGCTAGACAAATATCCACTTCCAGATTCCACAAAAAGAGTGTTTTAAAACTGCTCTCTCAAAAGAAAGCTTCAACTCTGTTAGCTGAGTAGATACATCATGAAAAAGTTTCTGACATTGCTTCTATCTAGCTTTTATTGGAAGATATTTCCTTTATCACCGTATTCCTGAGAACTGTCCAAATGTCCACTTCCAGATACTACAAAAAGAGTGTTTCAAACCTGCTCTATGAAAGGGACTGTTCAACACTGTGACTTCAATTGAAACATCCCAATGAAGCTTCTGAGAATGCTTCTGTCTAGAGTTTATATGAAGACAATCCCGTTTCCAAAGAAATCCTCAAAGCTATCCAAATATCCTCTTGCAGATATTACAAAAAGTGTGTTTCAAAACTGCTCTATCAAAAGAAAGGTTCAACACTGTTAGTTGAGGGCGCACATCACAAATAAGTTTCTGAGAATGCTTCTGTCTAGTTTTCAGGGGAAGATATTTCCTTTTTCACCATAGGCCTGAAAGCGCTCCAAATGTCCACATCCAGATACTACAAAAAGAGTGTTTCAAACCTGCTCTATAAAAGGGAAAGTTCAACTCTGTGACTTGAATGCAAACATCACAAAGAAGTTTCTGGGAATGCTTCTGTCTAGTTTTCAGGAGAAGATATTTCCTTTTTCTCCGTATTCCTGAGATCTCTCCAAATGTCCACTTCCAGATACTACAAAAAGAGTGTTTCAAACCTGCTCTATGAAAGGGACTGTTCAACACTGTGACTTCAATTGAAACATCCCAATGAAGCTTCTGAGAATGCTTCTGTCTAGAGTTTATATGAAGACAATCCCGTTTCCAACGAAATCCTCAAAGCTATCCAAATATCCTCTTGCAGATTTTACAAAAAGAGTGTTTCAAAACTGCTCTATCAAAAGAAAGCTTCAACACTGTTAGTTGAGGGTGCACATCACAAATAAGATTCTGAGAATGCTTCTGTCTAGTTTTCAGGGGAAGATATTTCCTTTTTCACCTTAGGCCTGAAAGCGCTGTAAATGTCCACATCCAGATACTACAAAAAGAGTGTTTCAAACCTGCTCTATGAAAGGGAATGTTCAACTCTGTGACTTGAATGCAAACATCACAAAGAAGTTTCTGGGAATGCCGCTGTCTGCTTTTTATATGTAATCCCGTTTCCAACGAAATCCTCAAAGCTAGACAAATATCCACTTGCAGATTCCACAAAAAGAGTGTTTCAAAACTGCTCTCTCAAAAGAAAGGTTCAACTCTGTTAGCTGAGTAGATACATCATGAAAAAGTTTCTGACATTGCTTCTACCTAGCTTTTATTGGAAGATATTTCCTTTATCACCGTATTCCTGAGATCTCTCCAAATGTCCAGTTCCAGATACTACAAAAAGAGTGTTTCAAACCTGCTCTATGAAAGGGACTGTTCAACACTGTGACTTCAATTGAAACATCCCAATGAAGCTTCTGAGAATGCTTCTGTCTAGAGTTTATATGAAGACAATCCCGTTTCCAACGAAATCCTTAAAGCTATCCAAATATCCTCTTGCAGATTTTACAAAAAGAGTGTTTCAAAACTGCTCTATCAAAAGAAAGCTTCAACACTGTTAGTTGAGGGCGCACATCACAAATAAGATTCCTGAGAATGCTTCTGTCTAGTTTTCAGGGGAAGATATTTCCTTTTTCACCATAGGCCTGAAAGCGCTCCAAATGTCCACATCCAGATACTACAAAAAGAGTGTTTCAAACCGGCTCTATGAAAGGGAATGTTCAACTCTGTGACTTGAATGCAAACATCACAAAGAAGATTCTGGGAATGCTGCTGTCTGCTTTTTATATGTAATCCCGTTTCCAACGAAATCCTCAAAGCTAGACAAATATCCACTTGCAGATTGCACAAAAAGAGTGTTTCAAAACTGCACTCTCAAAAGAAAGGTTCAACTCTGTTAGCTGAGTAGATACATCATGAAAAAGTTTCTGACATTGCTTCTGTCTAGAGTTTATATGAAGACAATCCCGTTTCCAACGAAATCCTCAAAGCTATCCAAATATCCTGTTGCAGATTTAACAAAAAGAGTGTTTCAAAACTGCTCTATCAAAAGAAAGCTTCAACACTGTTAGTTGAGGGCGCACATCACAAATAAGATTCTGAGAATGCTTCTGTCTAGTTTTCAGGGGAAGATATTTCCTTTTTCACCATAGGCCTGAAAGCGCTCCAAATGTCCACATCCAGATACTACAAAAAGAGTGTTTCAAACCTGCTCTATGAAAGGGAATGTTCAACTCTGTGACTTGAATGCAAACATCACAAAGAAGTTACTGGGAATGCTGCTGTCTGCTTTTTATAAGTAATCCCGTTTCCAACGAAATCCTCAAATCTAGACAAATATCCACTTGCACATTCCACAAAAAGAGTGTTTCAAAACTGGTCTCTCAAAAGAAAGGTTCAACTCTGTTAGCTGAGTAGATATATCATGAAAAAGTTTCTGACATTGCTTCTATCTAGCTTTTATTGGAAGATATTTCCTTTATCACCGTAGTCCTGAGAGCGCTCCAAAAGGCCACTTCCAGATACTACAAAAAGAGTGTTTCAAACCTGCTCTATGAAAGGGACTGTTCAACACTGTGACTTCAATTGAAACATCCCAATGAAGCTTCTGAGAATGCTTCTGTCTAGAGTTTATATGAAGACAATCCCGTTTCCAACGAAATCCTCAAAGCTATCCAAATATCCTCTTGCAGATATTACAAAAAGAGTGTTTCAAAACTGCTCTATCAAAAGAAAGGTTCAACACTGTTAGTTGAGGGCGCACATCACAAATAAGTTTACTGAGAATGCTGCTGTCTGCTTTTTATATGTAATCCCGTTTCCAACGAAATCCTCAAAGCTAGACAAATATCCACTTCCAGATTCCACAAAAACAGTGTTTCAAAACTGCTCTATCAAAAGAATGCTTCAACACTGTTAGTTGAGGGCGCACATCACAAATAAGTTTCTGAGAATGCTTCTGTCTAGTTTTCAGGGGAAGATATTTCCTTTTAAACCATAGGCCTGAAAGCGCTCCAAATGTCCACATCCAGATACTACAAAAAGAGTGTTTCAAACCTGCTCTATGAAAGGGACTGTTCAACACTGTGACTTCAATTGAAACATCCCAATGACGCTTCTGAGAATGCTTCTGTCTAGAGTTTATATGAAGACAATCCCGTTTCCAACGAAATCTTCAAAGCTATCCAAATATCCTCTTGCAGATTTTACAAAAAGAGTGTTTCAAAACTGCTCTATCAAAAGAAAGCTTCAACACTGTTAGTTGAGGGCGCACATCACAAATAAGATTCTGAGAATGCTTCTGTCTAGTTTGCAGGGGAAGATATTTCCTTTTTCACCATAGGCCTGAGAGCGCTCCAAATGTCCACATCCAGATACTACAAAAAGAGTGTTTCAAACCTGCTCTATGAAAGGGAATATTCAACTCTGTGACTTGAATGCAAACATCACAAAGAAGTTTCTGGGAATGCTGCTGTCTGCTTTTTATATGTAATCCCGTTTCCAACGAAATCCTCAAAGCTAGACAAATATCCACTTGCAGATTCCACAAAAAGAGTGTTTCAAAACTGCTCTCTCAAAGGAAAGGTTCAACTCTGTTAGCTGAGTAGATACATCATGAAAAAGTTTCTGACATTGCTTCTATGTAGCTTTTATTGGAAGATATTTCCTTTTTCACTGTAGTCCTGAGAGCGCTCCAAATGTCCACTTCCAGATACTACAAAAAGAGTGTTTCAAACCTGCTCTATGAAAGGGACTGTTCAACACTGTGACTTCAATTGAAACATCCCAATGAAGCTTCTGAGAATACTTCTGTCTAGAGTTTATATGAAGACAATCCCGTTTCCAACGAAATCCTCAAAGCTATCCAAATATCCTCTTGCAGATATTACAAAAAGAGTGTTTCAAAACTGCTCTATCAAAAGAAAGGTTCAACACTGTTAGTTGAGGGCGCACATCACAAATAAGTTTACTGAGAATGCTGCTGTCTGCTTTTTATATGTAATCCCGTTTCCAACGAAATCCTCAAATTTAGACAAATATCCACTTCCAGATTCCACAAAAAGAGTGTTTCAAAACTGCTCTATCAAAAGAATGCTTCAGCACTGTTAGTTGAGGGCGCACATCACAAATAAGTTTCTGAGAATGCTTCTGTCTAGTTTTCAGGGGAAGATATTTCCTCTTAAACCATAGGCCTGAAAGCGCTCCAAATGTCCACATCCAGATACTACAAAAAGAGTGTTTCAAACCTGCTCTATGAAAGGGACTGTTCAACACTGTGACTTCAATTGAAACATCCCAATGACGCTTCTGAGAATGCTTCTGTCTAGAGTTTATATGAAGACAATCCCGTTTCCAGCGAAATCCTCAAAGCTATCCAAATATCCTCTTGCAGATTTTACAAAAAGAGTGTTTCAAAACTGCTCTATCAAAAGAAAGGTTCAACACTGCTAGTTGAGGGCGCACATCACAAATAAGATTACTGAGAATGCTTCTGTCTAGTTTTCAGGGGAAGATATTTCCTTTTTTACCATAGGCCTGAAAGCGCTCCAAATGTCCACATCCAGATACTACAAAAAGAGTGTTTCAAACCTGCTGTATGAAAGGGAATGTTCAACTCCTGTGACTTGAATGCAAACATCACAAAGAAGTTACCGGGAATGCTGCTGTCTGCTTTTTATATGTAATCCCGTTTCCAACGAAATCCTCAAAGCTAGACAAATATCCACTTCCAGATTCCACAAAAAGAGTGTTTCAAAACTGCTCTCTCAAAAGAAAGGTTCAACTCTGTTCGCTGAGTAGATACATCATGAAAAAGTTTCTGACATTGCTTCTATCTAGCTTTTATTGGAAGATATTTCCTTTATCACCGTATTCCTGAGATCTCTCCAAATGTCCACTTCCAGATACTACAAAAAGAGTGTTTCAAACCTGCTCTATGAAAGAGACTGTTCAACACTGAGACTTCAATTGAAACATCCCAATGAAGCTTCTGAGAATGCTTCTTTCTAGAGTTTATATGAAGACAATCCCGTTTCCAACGAAATCCTCAAAGCTATCCAAATATTCTCTTGCAGATATTACAAAAAGAGTGTTTCAAAACTGCTCTATCAAAATAAAGCTTCAACACTGTTAGTTGAGGGCGCACATCACAAATAAGTTTCTGAGAATGCTGCTGTCTGCTTTTTATATGTAATCCCGTTTCCAACGAAATCCTCAAAGCTAGCACAAATATCCACTTGCAGATTCCACAAAAAGAGTGTTTCTAAACTGCTCTATCAAAAGAAAGCTTCAACACTGTTAGTTGAGGGGGCACATCACAAATAAGTTTCTGAGAATGCTTCTGTCTAGTTTTCAGGGGAAGATATTTCCTTTTTCACCATAGGCCTGAAAGCGCTCCAAATGTCCACATCCAGATACTACAAAAAGAGTGTTTCAAACCTGCTCTATGAAAGGGACTGTTCAACACTGTGACTTCAATTGAAACATCCCAATGAAGCTTCTGAGAATGCTTCTGTCTAGAGTTTATATGAAGACAATCCCGTTTCCAACGAAATCCTCAAAGCTATCCAAATATCCTCTTGCAGATTTTACAAAAAGAGTGTTTCAAAACTGCTCTATCAAAAGAAAGCTTCAACACTGTTAGTTGAGGGCGCACATCACAAATAAGTTTCTGAGAATGCTTCTGTCTAGTTTTCAGGGGAACATATTTCCTTTTTCACCATAGGCCTGAAAGCGCTCCAAATGTCCACATCCAGATACTACAAAAAGAGTGTTTCAAACCTGCTCTATGAAAGGGAATGTTCAACTCTGTGACTTGAATGCAAACATCACAAAGAAGTTTCTGATAATGCTGCTGTCTGCTTTTTATATGTAATCCCGTTTCCAACGAAATCCTCAAAGCTAGACAAATATCCACTTGCAGATTCCACAAAAAGAGTGTTTCAAAACTGCTCTCTCAAAAGAAAGGTTCAACTCTGTTAGCTGAGTAGATACATCATGAAAAAGTTTCTGACATTGCTTCTATCTAGCTTTTATTGGAAGATATTTCCTTTATCACCGTATTCCTGAGATCACTCCAAATGTCCACTTCCAGATACTACAAAAAGAGTGTTTCAAACCTCCTCTATGAAAGGGACTGTTCAACACTGTGACTTCAATTGAAACATCCCAATGAAGCTTCTGAGAATGCTTCTGTCTAGAGTTTATATGAAGACAATCCCGTTTCCAACGAAATCCTCAAAGCTATCCAAATATCCTCTTGCAGATATTACAAAAAGAGTGTTTCAAAACTGCTCTATCAAAAGAAAGGTTCAACACTGTTAGTTGAGGGCGCACATCACAAATAAGTTTACTGAGAATGCTGCTGTCTGCTTTTTATATGTAATCCCGTTTCCAACGAAATCCTCAAAGCTAGACAAATATCCACTTGCAGATTCCACAAAAAGAGTGTTTCAAAACTGCTCTATCAAAAGAAAGCTTCAACACTGTTAGTTGAGGGCGCACATCACAAATAAGTTTCTGAGAATGCTTCTGTCTAGTTTTCAGAGGAAGATATTTCCTTTTTCACCATAGGCCTGAAAGCGCTCCAAATGTCCACTTCCAGATACTACAAAAAGAGTGTTTCAAACCTGCTCTATGAAAGGGACTGTTCAACACTGTGACTTCAATTGAAACATCCCAATGAGGCTTCTGAGAATGCTTCTGTCTAGAGTTTATATGAAGACAATCCCGTTTCCAACGAAATCCTCAAAGCTATCCAAATATCCTCTTGCAGATTTTACAAAAAGAGTGTTTCAAAACTGCTCTATCAAAAGAAAGCTTCAACACTGTTAGTTGAGGGCGCACATCACAAATAAGTTTCTGAGAATGCTTCTGTCTAGTTTTCAGGGGAAGATATTTCCTTTTTCACCATAGGCCTGAAAGCGCTCCAAATGTCCACATCCAGATACTACAAAAAGAGTGTTTCAAACCTGCTCTATGAAAGGGAATGTTCAACTCTGTGACGTGAATGCAAACATCACAAAGAAGTTTCTGGGAATGCTGCTGTCTGCTTTTTATATGTAATCCCGTTTCCAACGAAATCCTCAAAGCTAGACAAATATCCACTTGCAGATTCCACAAAAAGAGTGTTTCAAAACTGCTCTCTGAAAGGAAAGGTTCAACTCTGTTAGCTGAGTAGATACATCATGAAAAAGTTTCTGACATTGCTTCTATCTAGCTTTTATTGGAAGATAGTTCCTTTTTCACCGCAGTCCTAAGAGCGCTCCAAATGTCCACTTCCAGATACTACAAAAAGAGTGTTTCAAACCTGTTCTATGAAAGGAACTGTTCAACACTGTGACTTCAATTGACACATCCCAATGAAGCTTCTCAGAATGCTTCTTTCTAGAGTTTATATGAAGACAATCCCGTTTCCAACGAAATCCTCAAAGCTATCCAAATATTCTCTTGCAGATATTACAAAAAGAGTGTTTCAAAACTGCTCTATCAAAATAAAGCTTCAACACTGTTAGTTGAGGGCGCACATCACAAATAAGTTTCTGAGAATGCTGCTGTCTGCTTTTTATATGTAATCCCGTTTCCAACGAAATCCTCAAAGCTAGACAAATATCCACTTGCAGATTCCACAAAAAGAGTGTTTCAAAACTGCTCTATCAAAAGAATGCTTCAACACTGTTAGTTGAGGGCGCACATCACAAATAAGTTTCTGAGAATGCTTCTGTCTAGTTTTCAGGGGAAGATATTTCCTTTTTCACCATAGGCCTGAAAGCGCTCGAAATGTCCACATCCAGATACTACAAAAAGAGTGTTTCAAACCTGCTCTATGAAAGGGACTGTTCAACACTGTGACTTCAATTGAAACATCCCAATGAAGCTTCTGAGAATGCTTCTGTCTAGATTTTATATGAAGACAATCCCGTTTCCAACGAAATCCTCAAAGCTATCCAAATATCCTCTTGCAGATATTACAAAAAGAGTGTTTCAAAACTGCTCTATCAAAAGAAAGCTTCAACACTGTTAGTTGAGGGCGCACATCACAAATAAGTTTCTGAGAATGCTTCTGTCTAGTTTTCAGGGGAAGATATTTCCTTTTTCACCATAGGCTTGAAAGCACTCCAAATGTCCACATCCAGATACTACAAAAAGAGTGTTTCAAACCTGCTCTATGAAAGGGAATGTTCAACTCTGTGACTTGAATGCAAACATCACAAAGAAGTTTCTGGGAATGCTGCTGTCTGCTTTTTATATGTAATCCCGTTTCCAACGAAATCCTCAAAGCTAGACAAATATCCACTTGCAGATTCCACAAAAAGAGTGTTTCAAAACTGCTCTCTCAAAAGAAAGGTTCAACCCTGTTAGCTGAGTAGATACATCATGAAAAAGTTTCTGACATTGCTTCTATCTAGCTTTTATTGGAAGATATTTCCTTTATCACCGTATTCCTGAGATCTCTCCAAATGTCCACTTCCAGATACTACAAAAAGAGTGTTTCAAACCTGCTCTATGAAAGGGACTGTTCAACACTGTGACTTCAATTGAAACATCCCAATGAAGCTTCCGAGAATGCTTCTGTCTAGAGTTTATATGAAGACAATCCCGTTTCCAACGAAATCCTCAAAGCTATCCAAATATCCTCTTGCAGATATTACAAAAAGAGTGTTTCAAAACTGCTCTATCAAAAGAAAGGTTCAACACTGTTAGTTGAGGGCGCACATCACAAATAAGTTTACTGAGAATGCTGCTGTCTGCTTTTTATATGTAATCCCGTTTCCAACGAAATCCTCAAAGCTAGACAAATATCCACTTGCAGATTCCACAAAAAGAGTGTTTCAAAACTGCTCTATCAAAAGAATGCTACAACACTGTTAGTTGAGGGCGCACATCACAAATAAGTTTCTGAGAATGCTTCTGTCTAGTTTTCAGGGGAAGATATTTCCTTTTTCACCATAGGCCTGAAAGCGCTCCAAATGTCCACATCCAGATACTACAAAAAGAGTGTTTCAAACCTGCTCTATGAAAGGGACTGTTCAACACTGTGACTTCAATTGAAACATCCCAATGAAGCTTCTGAGAATGCTTCTGTCTAGAGTTTATATGAAGACAATCCCGTTTCCAACGAAATCCTCAAAGCTATCCAAATATCCTCTTGCAGATATTACAAAAAGAGTGTTTCAAAACTGCTCTATCAAAAGAAAGGTTCAACACTGTTAGTTGAGGGCGCACATCACAAATAAGTTTCTGAGAATGCTTCTGTCTAGTTTTCAGAGGAAGATATTTCCTTTTTCCCCATAGGCCTGAAAGCGCTCCAAATGTCCACATCCAGATACTACAAAAAGAGTGTTTCAAACCTGCTCTATGAAAGGGAATGTTCAACTCTGTGACTTGAATGCAAACATCACAAAGAAGTTACTGGGAATGCTGCTGTCTGTTTTTATATGTAATCCCGTTTCCAGCGAAATCCTCAAAGCTAGACAAATATCCACTTGCAGATTCCACAAAAAGAGTGTTTCAAAACTGCTCTCTCAAAGGAAGGTTCAACTCTGTTAGCTGAGTAGATACATCATGAAAAATTTTCTGACATTGCTTCTATCTAGCTTTTATTGGAAGATATTTCCTTTATCACCGTATTCCTGAGATCTCTCCAAATGTCCACTTCCAGATACTACAAAAAGAGTGTTTCAAACCTGCTCTATGAAAGGGACTGTTCAACACTGTGACTTCAATTGAAACATCCCAATGAAGCTTCTGAGAATGCTTCTGTCTAGAGTTTATATGAAGACAATCCCGTTTCCAACGAAATCCTCAAAGCTATCCAAATATCCTCTTGCAGATATTACAAAAAGAGTGTTTCAAAACTGCTCTATCAAAAGAAAGGTTCAACACTGTTAGTTGAGGGCGCACATCACAAATAAGTTTACTGAGAATGCTGCTGTCTGCTTTTTATATGTAATCCCGTTTCCAACGAAATCCTCAAAGCTAGACAAATATCCACTTCCAGATTCCACAAAAAGAGTGTTTCAAAACTGCTCTATCAAAAGAAAGCTTCAACACTGTTAGTTGATTGCGCACATCACAAATAAGTTTCTGAGAATGCTTCTGTCTAGTTTTCAGAGGAAGATAGTTCCTTTTTCACCATAGGCCTGAAAGCGCTCCAAATGTCCACATCCAGATACTACAAAAAGAGTGTTTCAAACCTGCTCTATGAAAGGGAATGTTCAACTCTGTCACTTGAATGGAAACATCACAAACAAGTTACTGGGAATGCTTCTGTCTAGAGTTTATATGAAGACAATCCCGTTTCCAAAGAAATCCTCAAAGCTATCCAAATATCCTCTTGCAGATTCCACAAAAAGAGTGTTTCAAAACTGCTCTCTCAAAAGAAAGGTTCAACTCTGTTAGCTGAGTAGATACATCATGAAAAAGTTTCTGACATTGCTTCTATCTAGCTTTTATTGGAAGATAATTCCTTTTTCACCGCAGTCCTGACAGCGCTCCAAATGTCCACTTCCAGATACTACAAAAAGAGTGTTTCAAACCTGCTCTATGAAAGGGACTGTTCAACACTGTGACTTCAATTGAAACATCCCAATGAAGCTTCTGAGAATGCTTCTGTCTAGATTTTATATGAAGATAATCCCGTTTCCAACGAAATCCTCAAAGCTATCCAAATATCCTCTTGCAGATTTTACAAAAAGAGTGTTTCAAAACTGCTCTATCAAAAGAAAGCTTCAACACTGTTAGTTGAGGGCGCACATCACAAATAAGTTTCTGAGAATGCTGCTGTCTGCTTTTTATATGTAATCCCGTTTCCAACGAAATCCTCAAAACTAGACAAATATCCACTTGCAGATTCCACAAAAAGAGTGTTTCAAAACTGCTCTATCAAAAGAAAGCTTCAACACTGTTAGTTGAGGGTGCACATCACAAATAAGATTCTGAGAATGCTTCTGTCTAGTTTTCAGGGGAAGATATTTCCTTTTAAACCATAGGCCTGAAAGCGCTCCAAATGTCCACATCCAGATACTACAAAAAGAGTGTTTCAAACCTGCTCTATGAAAGGGACTGTTCAACACTGTGACTTCAATTGAAACATCCCAATGAAGCTTCTGAGAATGCTTCTGTCTAGAGTTTATATGAAGACAATCCCGTTTCCAACGAAATCCTCAAAGCTATCCAAATATCCTCTTGCAGATATTACAAAAAGAGTGTTTCAAAACTGCTCTATCAAAAGAAAGGTTCAACACTGTTAGTTGAGGGCGCACATCACAAATAAGTTTCTGAGAATGCTTCTGTCTAGTTTTCTGGGGAAGATATTTCCTTTTTCACCATAGGCCTGAAAGCGCTGCAAATGTCCACATCCAGATACTACAAAAAGAGTGTTTCAAACCTGCTCTATGAAAGGGAATGTTCAACTCTGTGACTTGAATGCAAACATCACAAAGAAGTTACTGGGAATGCTGCTGTCTGCTTTTTATATGTAATCCCGTTTCCAACGAAATCCTCAAAGCTAGACAAATATCCACTTGCAGATTCCACAAAAAGAGTGTTTCAAAACTGCTCTCCCAAAAGAAAGGTTCAACTCTGTTAGCTGAGTAGATACATCATGAAAATGTTTCTGACATTGCTTCTATGTAGCTTTTATTGGAAGATATTTCCTTTTTCACCATAGTCCTGAGAGCGCTCCAAATGTCCACTTCCAGATACTACAAAAAGAGTGTTTCAAACCTGTTCTATGAAAGGAACTGTTCAACACTGTGACTTCAATTGAAACATCCCCATGAAGCTTCTGAGAATGCTTTTGTCTAGAGTTTATATGAAGACAATCCCGTTTCCAACGAAATCCTCAAAGCTATCCAAATATCCTCTTGCAGATTTTACAAAAAGAGTGTTTCAAAACTGCTCTATCAAGAGAAAGCTTCAACACTGTTAGTTGAGGGCGCACATCACAAATAAGTTTCTGAGAATGCTGCTGTCTGCTTTTTATATGTAATCCCGTTTCCAACGAAATCCTCAAAGCTAGACAAATATCCACTTGCAGATTCCACAAAAAGAGTGTTTCAAAACTGCTCTATCAAAAGAATGCTTCAACACTGTTAGTTGAGGGCGCACATCACAAATAAGTTTCTGAGAATGCTTCTGTCTAGTTTTCAGGGGAAGATATTTCCTTTTAAACCATAGGCCTGAAAGCGCTCCAAATGTCCACATCCAGATACTACAAAAAGAGTGTTTGAAACCTGCTCTATGAAAGGGACTGTTCAACACTGTGACTTCAATTGAAACATCCCAATGAAGCTTCTGAGAATGCTTCTGTCTAGAGTTTATATGAAGACAATCCCGTTTCCAACGAAATCCTCAAAGCTATCCAAATATCCTCTTGCAGATATTACAAAAAGAGTGTTTCAAAACTGCTCTATCAAAAGAAAGCTTCAACACTGTTAGTTGAGGGCGCACATCACAAATAAGTTTCTGAGAATGCTTCTGTCTAGTTTTCAGGGGAAGATATTTCCTTTTTCACCTTAGGCCTGAAAGCGCTGCAAATGTCCGCATCCAGATACTACAAAAAGAGTGTTTCAAACCTGCTCTATGAAAGGGAATGTTCAACTCTGTGACTTGAATGCAAACAACACAAAGAAGTTTCTGGGAATGCTGCTGTCTGCTTTTTATATGTAACCCGTTTCCAACGAAATCCTCAAAGCTAGACAAATATCCACTTGCAGATTCCACAAAAAGAGTGTTTCAAAACTGCTCTCTCAAAGGAAGGTTCAACTCTGTTAGCTGAGTAGATACATCATGAAAAAGTTTCTGACATTGCTTCTATCTAGCTTTTATTGGAAGATATTTCCTTTATCACCGTATTCCTGAGATCTCTCCAAATGTCCACTTCCAGATACTACAAAAAGAGTGTTTCAAACCTGCTCTATGAAAGGGACTGTTCAACACTGTGACTTCAATTGAAACATCCCAATGAAGCTTCTGAGAATGCTTCTGTCTAGAGTTTATATGAAGACAATCCCGTTTCCAACGAAATCCTCAAAGCTATCCAAATATCCTCTTGCAGATATTACAAAAAGAGTGTTTCAAAACTGCTCTATCAAAAGAAAGGTTCAACACTGTTAGTTGAGGGCGCACATCACAAATAAGTTTACTGAGAATGCTGCTGTCTGCTTTTTATATGTAATCCCGTTTCCAACGAAATCCTCAAAGCTAGACAAATATCCACTTGCAGATTCCACAAAAAGAGTGTTTCAAAACTGCTCTATCAAAAGAATGCTTCAACACTGTTAGTTGAGGGCGCACATCACAAATAAGTTTCTGAGAATGCTTCTGTCTAGTTTTCAGGGGAAGATATTTCCTTTTAAACCATAGGCCTGAAAGCGCTCCAAATGTCCACATCCAGATACTACAAAAAGAGTGTTTCAAACCTGCTCTATGAAAGGGACTGTTCAACACTGTGACTTCAATTGAAACATCCCAATGAAGCTTCTGAGAATGCTTCCTGTCTAGAGTTTATATGAAGACAATCCCGTTTCCAACGAAATCTTCAAAGCTATCCAAATATCCTCTTGCAGATTTTACAAAAAGAGTGTTTCAAAACTGCTCTATCAAAAGAAAGGTTCAACACTGTTAGTTGAGGGCGCACATCACAAATAAGATTCTGAGAATGCTTCTGTCTAGTTTTCAGGGGAAGATATTTCCTTTTTCACCTTAGGCCTGAAAGCGCTGCAAATGTCCACATCCAGATACTACAAAAAGAGTGTTTCAAACCTGCTCTATGAAAGGGAGTGTTCAACTCTGTGACTTGAATGCAAACATCACAAAGAAGTTACTGGGAATGCTGCTGTCTGCTTTTTATATGTAATCCCGTTTCCAACGAAATCCTCAAAGCTAGACAAATATCCACTTGCAGATTCCACAAAAAGAGTGTTTCAAAACTGCTCTGTCAAAAGAAAGCTTCAACTCTGTTAGCTGAGTAGATACATCATGAAAAAGTTTCTGGCATTGCTTCTATGTAGCTTTTATTGGAAGATATTTCCTTTTTCACCGTAGTCCTGAGAGCGCTCCAAATGTCCACTTCCAGATACTACAAAAAGAGTGTTTCAAACCTGCTCTATGAAAGGGACTGTTCAACACTGTGACTTCAATTGAAATATCCCAATGAAGCTTCTGAGAATGCTTATGTCTAGAGTTTATATGAAGACAATCCCGTTTCCAACGAAATCCTGAAAGCTATCCAAATATCCTCTTGCAGATATTACAAAAAGAGTGTTTCAAAACTGCTCTATCAAAAGAAAGCTTCAACACTGTTAGTTGAGGGCGCCCATCACAAATAAGTTTCGGAGAATGCTTAGCTGTCTGCTTTTTATATGTAATCTCGTTTCCAACGAAATCCTCAATGCTATCCAAATATCCTCTTGCAGATATTACAAAAAGAGTGTTTCAAAACTGCTCTATCAAAAGAAAGCTTGAACACTGTTAGTTGAGGGCGCACATCACAAATAAGTTTCTGAGAATGCTTCTGTCTAGTTTTCAGGGGAAGATATTTCCTTTTTCACCTTATGCCTGAAAGCGCTCCAAATGTCCACATCCAGATTCTACAAAAAGAGTGTTTCAAACCTGCTCTATGAAAGGGACTGTTCAACACTGTGACTTCAATTGAAACATCCCAATGAAGCTTCTGAGAATGCTTCTCTCTAGAGTTTATATGAAGACAGTCCCGTTTCCAACGAAATCCTCAAAGCTATCCAAATATCCTCTTGCAGATTTTACAAAAAGAGTGTTTCAAAACTGCTCTATCAAAAGAAAGCTTCAACACTGTTAGTTGAGGGCGCACATGACAAATAAGATTCTGAGAATGCTTCTGTCTAGTTTTCAGGGGAAGATATTTCCTTTTTCACCATAGGCCTGAAAGCGCTCCAAATGTCCACATCCAGATACTACAAAAAGAGTGTTTCAAACCTGGTCTATGAAAGGGAATGTTCAACTCTGTGACTTGAATGCAAACATCACAAAGAAGTTTCTGGGAATGCTGCTGTCTGCTTTTTATATGTAATCCCGTTTCCAACGAAATCCTCAAAGCTAGACAAATATCCACTTGCAGATTCCACAAAAAGAGTGTTTCAAAACTGCTCTCTCAAAGGAAAGGTTCAACTCTGTTAGCTGAGTAGATACATCATGAAAAAGTTTCTGACATTGCTTCTATCTAGCTTTTATTGGAAGATATTTCCTTTATCACCGTATTCCTGAGATCTCTCCAAATGTCCACTTCCAGATACTACAAAAAGAGTGTTTCAAACCTGCTCTATGAAAGGGACTGTTCAACACTGTGACTTCAATTGAAACATCCCAATGAAGCTTCTGAGAATGCTGCTGTCTGCTTTGTATAATTAATCCCGTTTCCAACGAAATCCTCAAAGCTATCCAAATATCCTCTTGCAGATATTACAAAAAGAGTGTTTCAAAACTGCTCTATCAAAAGAAAGCTTCAACACTGTTAGTTGAGGGCGCACATCACAAATAAGTTTCTGAGAATGCTGCTGTCTGCTTTTTATATGTAATCCCGTTAACAACGAAATCCTCAAAGCTAGACAAATATCGACTTGCAGATTCCACAAAAAGAGTGTTTCAAAACTGCTCTATCAAAAGAATGCTTCAACACTGTTAGTTGAGGGCGCACATCACAAATAAGTTTCTGAGAATGCTTCTGTCTAGTTTTCAGGGGAAGATATTTCCTTTTAAACCATAGGCCTGAAAGCGCTCCAAATGTCCACATCCAGATACTACAAAAAGAGTGTTTCAAACCTGCTCTATGAAAGGGACTGTTCAACACTGTGACTTCAATTGAAACATCCCAATGACGCTTCTGAGAATGCTTCTGTCTAGAGTTTATATGAAGACAATCCCGTTTCCAACGAAATCCTCAAAGCTATCCAAATATCCTCTTGCAGATTTTACAAAAAGAGTGTTTCAAAACTGCTCTCTCAAAAGAAAGGTTCAACTCTGTTAGCTGAGGTGACGGATACATCATGAAAAAGTTTCTGACATTGCTTCTGTCTAGTTTTCAGGGGAAGATATTTCCTTTCTCACCATAGGCCTGAAAGCGCTCCAAATGTCCACATCCAGATACTACAAAAAGAGTGTTTCAAACCTGCTCTATGAAAGGGAATGTTCAACTCTGTGACTTGAATGCAAACATCACAAAGAAGTTTCTGGGAATGCTGCTGTCTGCTTTTTATATGTAATCCCGTTTCCAACGAAATCCTCAAAGCTAGACAAATATCCACTTGCAGATTCCACAAAAAGAGTGTTTCAAAACTGCTCTCTCAAAGGAAAGGTTCAACTCTGTTAGCTGAGTAGATACATCATGAAAAAGTTTCTGACATTGCTTCTATGTAGCTTTTATTGGAAGATATTTCCTTTTTCACCGTAGTCCTGAGAGCGCTCCAAATGTCCACTTCCAGATACTACAAAAAGAGTGTTTCAAACCTGCTCTATGAAAGGGACTGTTCAACACTGTGACTTCAATTGAAACATCCCAATGAAGCTTCTGAGAATGCTTCTTTCTAGAGTTTATATGAAGACAATCCCGTTTCCAACGAAATCCTCAAAGCTATCCAAATATTCTCTTGCAGATATTACAAAAAGAGTGTTTCAAAACTGCTCTATCAAAATAAAGCTTCAACACTGTTAGTTGAGGGCGCACATCACAAATAAGTTTCTGAGAATGCTGCTGTCTGCTTTTTATATGTAATCCCGTTTCCAACGAAATCCTCAAAGCTATCCAAATATCCTCTTGCAGATATTACAAAAAGAGTGTTTCAAAACTGCTCTATCAAAAGAAAGGTTCAACACTGTTAGTTGAGGGCGCACATCACAAATAAGTTTCTGAGAATGCTTCTGTCTAGTTTTCAGGGGAAGATATTTCCTTTTAAACCATAGGCCTGAAAGCGCTCCAAATGTCCACATCCAGATACTACAAAAAGAGTGTTTCAAACCTGCTCTATGAAAGGGACTGTTCAACACTGTGACTTCAATTGAAACATCCCAATGAAGCTTCTGAGAATGCTTCTGTCTAGACTTTATATGAAGACAATCCCGTTTCCAACGAAATCCTCAAAGCTATCCAAATATCCTCTTGCAGATATTACAAAAAGAGTGTTTCAAAACTGCTCTATCAAAAGAAAGCTTCAACACTGTTAGTTGAGGGCGCACATCACAAATAAGTTTCTGAGAATGCTTCTGTCTAGTTTTCAGGGGAAGATATTTCCTTTTTCACCATAGGCCTGAAAGCGCTCCAAATGTCCACATCCAGATACTACAAAAAGAGTGTTTCAAACCTGCTCTCTGAAAGGGAATGTTCAACTCTGTGACTTGAATGCAAACATCACAAAGAAGTTTCTGGGAATGCTGCTGTCTGCTTTTTATATGTAATCCCGTTTCCAACAAAATCCTCAAAGCTAGACAAATATCCACCTGCCGATCCAACAAAAAGAGTGTTTCAAAACTGCTCTCTGAAAAAAAAGGTTCAACTCTGTTAGCTGAGTAGATACATCATGAAAAAGTTTCTGACATTGCTTCTATCTAGCTTTTATTGGAAGATATTACCTTTTTCACCGTAGTCCTGAGAGCGCTCAAAATGTCCACTTCCAGATACTACAAAAAGAGTGTTTCAAACCTGCTATATGAAAGGGACTGTTCAACACTGTGACTTCAATTGAAACATCCCAATGAAGCTTCTGAGAATGCTGCTGTCTGCTTTGTATAATTAATCCCGTTTCCAACGAAATCCTCAAAGCTATCCAAATATCCTCTTGCAGATATTACAAAAAGAGTGTTTCAAAACTGCTCTATCAAAAGAAAGCTTCAACACTGTTAGTTGAGGGCGCACATCACAAATAAGTTTCTGAGAATGCTGCTGTCTGCTTTTTATATGTAATCCCGTTTCCAACGAAATCCTCAAAGCTAGACAAATATCCACTTGCAGATTCCACAAAAAGAGTGTTTCAAAACTGCTCTATCAAAAGAAAGCTTCAACACTGTTAGTTGAGGGGGCGCATCACAAATAAGTTTCTGAGAATGCTTCTGTCTAGTTTTCAGGGGAAGATATTTCCTTTTAAACCATAGGCCTGAAAGCGCTCCAAATGTCCACATCCAGATACTACAAAAAGAGTGTTTCAAACCTGCTCTATGAAAGGGACTGTTCAACACTGTGACTTCAATTGAAACATCCCAATGAAGCTTCTGAGAATTCTTCTGTCTAGAGTTTATATGAAGACAATCCCGTTTCCAACGAAATCCTCAAAGCTATCCAAATATCCTCTTGCAGATTTTACGAAAAGCGTGTTTCAAAACTGCTCTATCAAAAGAAAGCTTCAACACTGTTAGTTGAGGGCGCACATCACAAATAAGATTCTGAGAATGCTTCTGTCTAGTTTTCAGGGGAAGATATTTCCTTTTTCACCATAGGCCTGAAAGCGCTCCAAATGTCCACATCCAGATACTACAAAAAGAGTGTTTCAAACCTGCTCTATGAAAGGGAATGTTCAACTCTGTGACTTGAATGCAAACATCACAAAGAAGTTTCTGGGAATGCTACTGTCTGTTTTTTATATGTAATCCCGTTTCCAACGAAATCCTCAAACCTAGACAAATATCCACCTGCAGATCGAACAAAAAGAGTGTTTCAAAACTGCTCTCTCAAAAAAAAGGTTCAACTCTGTTAGCTGAGTAGATACATCATGAAAAAGTTTCTGACATTGTTTCTATCTAGCTTTTATTGGAAGATATTTCCTTTTTCACCGTAGTCCTAAGAGCGCTCCAAATGTCCACTTCCAGATACTACAAAAAGAGTGTTTCAAACCTGCTCTATGAAAGGGACTGTTCAACAGTGTGACTTCAATTGAAACATCCCAATGAAGCTTCTGAGAATGCATCTTTCTAGAGTTTATATGAAGACAATCCCGTTTCCAACGAAATCCTCAAAGCTATCCAAATATTCTCTTGCAGATATTACAAAAAGAGTGTTTCAAAACTGCTCTATCAAAATAAAGCTTCAACACTGTTAGTTGAGGGCGCACATCACAAATAAGTTTCTGAGAATGCTGCTGTCTGCTTTTTATATGTAATCCCGTTTCCAACGAAATCCTCAAAGCTAGACAAATATCCACTTGCAGATTCCACAAAAAGAGTGTTTCAAAACTGCTCTATCAAAAGAAAGCTTCAACACTGTTAGTTGAGGGCGCACATCACAAATAAGTTTCTGAGAATGCTTCTGTCTAGTTTTCAGGGGAAGATATTTCCTTTTAAACCATAGGCCTGAAAGCGCTCCAAATGTCCACATCCAGATACTACAAAAAGAGTGTTTCAAACCTGCTCTATGAAAGGGACTGTTCAATACTGTGACTTCAATTGAAACATCCCAATGAAGCTTCTGAGAATGCTACTGTCTAGATTTTATATGAAGACAATCCCGTTTCCAACGAAATCCTCAAAGCTATCCAAATATCCTCTTGCAGATTTTACAAAAAGAGTGTTTCAAAACTACTCTATCAAAAGAAAGGTTCAACATTGTTAGTTGAGGGCGCACATCACATATAAGTTTCTGAGAATGCTTCTGTCTAGTTTGCAGGGGAAGATATTTCCTTTTTCACCATAGGCCTGAGAGCGCTCCAAATGTCCACATCCAGATACTACAAAAAGAGTGTTTCAAACCTGCTCTATGAAAGGGAATGTTCAACTCTGTGACTTGAATGCAAACATCACAAAGAAGTTTCTGGGAATGCTGCTGTCTGCTTTTTATATGTAATCCCTTTTCCAACGAAATCCTCAAACCTAGACAAATATCCACCTGCAGATCCAACAAAAAGAGTGTTTCAAAACGGCTCTCTCAAAAGAAAGGTTCACCTCTGTTAGCTGAGTAGATACATCATGAAAAAGTTTCTGACATTGCTTCTATCTAGCTTTTATTGGAAGATATTCCCTTTTTCACCGTCGTCCTGAGAACGCTCCAATTGTCCACTTCCAGATATTACAAAAAGAGTGTTTCAAACCTGCTCTACGAAAGGGACTGTTCAACACTGTGACTTCAATTGAAACATCCCAATGAAGCTTCTGAGAATGCTTCTGTCTAGAGTTTATATGAAGACAATCCCGTTTCCAACGAAATCCTCAAAGCTATCCAAATATCCTCTTGCAGATATTACAAAAAGAGTGTTTCAAAACTGCTCTATCAAAAGAAAGGTTCAACACTGTTAGTTGAGGGCGCACATCACAAATAAGTTTACTGAGAATGCTGCTGTCTGCTTTTTATATGTAATCCCGTTTCCAACGAAATCCTCAAAGCTAGACAAATATCCACTTGCAGGTTCCACAAAAAGAGTGTTTCAAAACTGCTCTGTCAAAAGAAAGCTTCAACACTGTTGGTTGAGGGCGCACATCACAAATAAGTTTCTGAGAATGCTTCTGTCTAGTTTTCAGGGGAAGATATTTCCTTTTAAACCATAGGCCTGAAAGCGCTCCAAATGTCCACATCCAGATACTACAAAAAGAGTGTTTCAAACCTGCTCTATGAAAGGGACTGTTCAACACTGCAACTTCAATTGAAACATCCCAATGAAGCTTCTGAGAATGCTTCTGTCTAGAGTTTATATGAAGACAATCCCGTTTCCAACGAAATCCTCAAAGCTATCCAAATATCCTCTTGCAGATTTTACAAAAAGAGTGTTTCAAAACTGCTCTATCAAAAGAAAGCTTCAACACTGTTAGTTGAGGGCGCACATCACAAATAAGATTCTGAGAATGCTTCTGTCTAGTTTTCAGGAGAAGATATTTCCATTTTCACCATAGGCCTGAAAGCGCTCCAAATGTCCACATCCAGATACTACAAAAAGAGTGTTTCAAACCTGCTCTATGAAAGGGAATGTTCAACTCTGTGTCTTGAATGCAAACATCACAAAGAAGATTCTGGGAATGCTGCTGTCTGCTTTTTATATGTAATCCCGTTTCCAACGAAATCCTCAAAGCTAGACAAATATCCACTTGCAGATTCCACAAAAAGAGTGTTTCAAAACTGCTCTCTCAAAAGAAAGGTTCAACTCTGTTAGCTGAGTAGATACATCATGAAAAAGTTTCTGACATTGCTTCTATCTAGCTTTTATTGGAAGATATTTCCTTTTTCACCGCAGTCCTGAGAGCGCTCCAAATGTCCACTTCCAAATACTACAAAACGAGTGTTTCAAACCTGTTCTATGAAAGGAACTGTTCAACACTGTGACTTCAATTGAAACATCCCAATGAAGCTTCTGAGAATGCTTCTGTCTAGATTCTATATGAAGACAATCCCGTTTCCAACGAAATCCTCAAAGCTATCCAAATATCCTCTTGCAGATTTTACAAAAAGAGTGTTTCAAAACTGCTCTATCAAAAGAAAAGTTCCACACTGTTAGTTGAGGGCGCACATCACAAATAAGTTTGCTGAGAATGCTGCTGTCTGCTTTTTGTAATTAATCCCGTTTCCAACGAAATCCTCAAAGCTATCCAAATATCCTCTTGCAGATATTACAAAAAGAGTGTTTCAAAACTGCTCTATCAAAAGAAAGGTTCAACACTGTTAGTTGAGGGCGCACATCACAAATAAGTTTCTGAGAATGCTTCTGTCTAGTTTTCAGGAGAAGATATTCCCTTTTTCACCGTATTCCTGAGATCTCTCCAAATGTCCACTTCCAGATACTACAAAAAGAGTGTTTCAAACCTGCTCTATGAAAGGGACTGTTCAACACTGTGACTTCAATTGAAACATCCCAATGAAGCTTCTGAGAATGCTTCTGTCTAGTAGTTTATATGCAGACAATCCCGTTTCCAACGAAATCCTCAAAGCTATCCAAATATCCTCTTGCAGATTTTACAAAAAGCGTGTTTCAAAACGGCTCTGTGAAAAGAAAGCTTCAACACTGTTAGTTGAGGGCGCACATCACAAATAAGTTTCTGAGACTACTTCTGTCTAGTTTTCAGGGGAAGATATTTACTTTTTCACCTTAGGCCTGAAAGCGCTGCAAATGTCCACATCCAGATACTACAAAAAGAGTGTTTCAAACCTGCTCTATGAAAGGGAATGTTCAACTCTGTGACTTGAATGCAAACAACACAAAGAAGTTTCTGGGAATGCTGCTGTCTGCTTTTTATATGTAATCCCGTTTCCAACGAAATCCTCAAAGCTAGACAAATATCCACTTGCAGATTCCACAAAAAGAGTGTTTCAAAACTGCTCTCTCAAAAGAAAGGTTCAACTCTGTTAGCTGAGTAGATACATCATGAAAAATTTTCTGACATTGCTTCTATCTAGCTTTTATTGGAAGATATTTCCTTTGTCACCTTATTCCTGAGATCTCTCCAAATGTCCACTTCTAGATACTACAAAAAGAGTGTTTCAAACCTGCTCTATGAAAGGGACTGTTCAACACTGTGACTTCAATTGAAACATCCCAATGAAGCTTCTGAGAATGCTGCTGTCTGCTTTGTATAATTAATCCCGTTTCCAACGAAATCCTCAAAGCTATCCAAATATCCTCTTGCAGATATTACAAAAAGAGTGTTTCAAAACTGCTCTATCAAAAGAAAGCTTCAACACTGTTAGTTGAGGGCGCACATCACAAATAAGTTTCTGAGAATGCTGCTGTCTGCTTTTTATATGTAATCCCGTTTCCAACGAAATCCTCAAAGCTAGACAAATATCCACTTGCAGATTCCACAAAAAGAGTGTTTCAAAACTGCTCTATCAAAAGAAAGCTTCAACACTGTTAGGTGAGGGCGCACATCACAAATAAGATTTTGAGAATGCTTCTGTCTAGTTTTCAGGGGAAGATATTTCCTTTTTCACCATAGGCCTGAAAGCGCTCCAAATGTCCACATACAGATACTACAAAAAGAGTGTTTCAAACCTGCTCTATGAAAGGGAATGTTCAACTCTGTGACTTGAATGCAAACATCGCAAAGAAGTTTGTGGGAATGCTTCTGTCTAGAGTTTATATGAAGACAATCCCGTTTCCAACGAAATCCTCAAAGCTATCCAAATATCCTCTTGCAGATTTTACAAAAAGAGTGTTTCAAAACTACTCCATGAAAAGAATGGTTTAATACTGTTAGTTGAGGGCGCACATCACAAATAAGTTTCTGAGAATGCTTCTGTCTAGTTTTCAGGGGAAGATATTTCCTTTTTCACCATAGACCTGAAAGCGCTCCAAATGTCCACATCCAGATACTACAAAAAGAGTGTTTCAAACCTGCTCTATGAAAGGGAATGTTCAACTCTGTGACTTGAATGCAAACATCACAAAGAAGTTTACTGGGAATGCTGCAGTCTGCTTTTTATATGTAATCCCGTTTCCAACGAAATCCTCAAAGCTAGACAAATATCCACTTGCAGATTCCACAAAAAGAGTGTTTCAAAACTGCTCTCTCAAAAGAAAGTTACAACTCTGTTAGCTGAGTAGATACATCATGAAAGTGTTTCTGACATTGCTTCTATCTAGCTTTTATTGGAAGATACTTCCTTTTTCACCGTAGTCCTGAGAGCGCTCCAAATGTCCACTTCCAGATACTACAAAAAGAGTGTTTCAAACCTGCTCTATGAAAGGGACTGTTCAACACTGTGTCTTCAATTGAAACATCCCAATGAAGCTTCTGAGAATGCTTCTGTCTAGATTCTATATGAAGACAATCCCGTTTCCAACGAAATCCTCAAAGCTATCCAAATATCCTCTTGCAGATTTTACAAAAAGAGTGTTTCAAAACTGCTCTATCAAAAGAAAAGTTCCACACTGTTAGTTGAGGGCGCACATCACAAATAAGTTTGCTGAGAATGCTGCTGGCTGCTTTTTTTATGTAATCCCGTTTCCAATGAAATCCTCAAAGCTAGACAAATATCCACTTGCAGATTCCACAAAAAGAGTGTTTCAAAACTGCTCTATCAAAAGAAAGCTTCAACACTGTTAGTTGAGGGCGCAAATCACAAATAAGTTTCTGAGAATGCTTCTGTCTAGTTTTCAGGGGAAGATATTTCCTTTTAAACCATAGGCCTGAAAGCGCTCCAAATGTCCACATCCAGATACTACAAAAAGAGTGTTTCAAACCTGCTCTATGAAAGGGACTGTTCAACACTGTGACTTCAATTGAAACATCCCAATGACGCTTCTGAGAATGCTTCTGTCTAGAGTTTATATGAAGAGAATCCCGTTTCCAACGAAATCCTCAAAGCTATCCAAATATCCTCTTGCAGATATTACAAAAAGAGTGTTTCAAAACTGCTCTATCAAAAGAAAGCTTCAACACTGTTAGTTGAGGGCGCACATCACAAATAAGTTTCTGAGAATGCTTCTGTCTAGTTTTCAGGGGAAGATATTTCCTTTTTCACCATAGGCCTGAAAGCGCACCAAATGTCCACATCCAGATACTTCAAAAAGAGTGTTTCAAACCTGCTCTATGAAAGGGAATGTTCAACTCTGTGACTTGAATGCAAACATCAGAAAGAAGTTACTGGGAATGCTGCTGCTCGCTTTTTATATGTAATCCCGATTCCAACGAAATCCTCAAAGATAGACAAATATCCACTTGCAGATTCCACAAAAAGAGTGTTTCAAAACTGCTCTCTCAAAAGAAAGGTTCAACTCTGTTAGCTGAGTAGATACATCATGAAAAAGTTTCTGACATTGCTTCTATCTAGCTTTTATTGGAAGATATTTCCTTTACCACCGTATTCCTGAGATCTCTCCAAATGTCCACTTCCAGATACTACAAAAAGAGTGTTTCAAACCTGCTCTATGAAAGGGACTGTTCAACACTGTGACTTCAATTGAAACATCCCAATGAAGCTTCTGAGAATGCTTCTGTCTAGAGTTTATATGAAGACAATCCCGTTTCCAACGAAATCCTCAAAGCTATCCTAATATCCTCTTGCAGATTTTACAAAAAGAGTGTTTCAAAACTGCTCTATCAAAAGAAAGCTTCAACACTGTTAGTTGAGGGCGCACATCACATATAAGATTCTGAGAATGCTGCTGTCTGCTTTTTATATGTAATCCCGTTTCCAACGAAATCCTCAAAGCTAGAAAAATATCCACTTGCAGATTCCACAAAAAGAGTGTTTCAAAACTGCTCTATCAAAAGAAAGCTTCAACACTGTTAGTTGAGGGCGCACATCACAAATAAGTTTCTGAGAATGCTTCTGTCTAGTTTTCAGGGGAAGATATTTCCTTTTTCACCTTATGCCTGAAAGCGCTCCAAATGTCCACATCCAGATTCTACAAAAAGAGTGTTTCAAACCTGCTCTATGAAAGGGACTGTTCAACACTGTGACTTCAATTGAAACATCCCAATGAAGCTTCTGAGAATGCTTCTGTCTAGAGTTTATATGAAGACAATCCAGTTTCCAAAGAAATCCTCAAAGCTATCCAAATATCCTCTTGCAGATTTTACAAAAAGAGTGTTTCAAAACTGCTCTATCAAAAGAAAGCTTCAACACTGTTAGTTGAGGGCGCACATTACAAATAAAATTCTGAGAGTGCTTCTGTCTAGTTTTCAGGGGAAGATATTTCCTTTTTCACCATAAGCCTGAAAGCGCCCCAAATGTCCACATCCAGATACTACAAAAAGAGTGTTTCAAACCTGCTCTATGAAAGGGAAAGTTCAACGGTGTGACTTGAATGCAAACATCACAAAGAAGTTTCTGGGAATGCTGCTGTCTGCTTTTTATATGTAATCCCGTTTCCAACGAAATCCTCAAAACTAGACAAATATCCACTTGCAGATTCCACAAAAAGAGTGTTTCAAAACTGCTCTCTCAAAAGAAAGGTTCAACTCTGTTAGCTGAGTAGATACATCATGAAAAAGTTTCTGACATTGCTTCTATCTAGCTTTTATTGGAAGATATTTCCTTTTTCACCGCAGTCCTGAGAGCGTTCCAAATGTCCACTTCCAGATACTACAAAAAGAGTGTTTCAAACCTGCTCTATGAAAGGGACTGTTCAACACTGTGACTTCAATTGAAACATCCCAATGAAGCTTCTGAGAATGCTTCTGTCTAGATTCTATATGAAGACAATCCCGTTTCCAACGAAATCCTCAAAGCTATCCAAATATCCTCTTGCAGATTTTACAAAAAGAGTGTTTCAAAACTGCTCTATCAAAAGAAAAGTTCCACACTGTTAGTTGAGGGCGCACATCACAAATAAGTTTGCTGAGAATGCTGCTGTCTGCTTTTTATAATTAATCCCGTTTCCAACGAAATCCTCAAAGCTAGACAAATATCCACTTGCAGATTCCACAAAAAGAGTGTTTCAAAACAGCTCTATCAAAAGAATGCTTCAACACTGTTAGTTGAGGGCGCACATCACAAATAAGTTTCTGAGAATGCTTCTGTCTAGTTTTCAGGGGAAGATATTTCCTTTTTCACCATAGGCCTGAAAGCGCTCCAAATGTCCACATCCAGATACTACAAAAAGAGTGTTTCAAACCTGCTCTATGAAAGGGACTGTTCAACACTGTGACTTCAATTGAAACATCCCAATGAAGCTTCTGAGAATGCTTCTGTCTAGATTTTATATGAAGACAATCCCGTTTCCAACGAAATCCTCAAAGCTATCCAAATATCCTCTTGCAGATTTTACAAAAAGAGTGTTTCAAAACTGCTCTATCAAAAGAAAAGTTCAACACTGTTAGTTGAGGGCGCACATCACAAATAAGTTTCTGAGAATGCTTCTGTCTAGTTTTCAGGGGAAGATATTTCCTTTTTCACCATAAGCCTGAAAGCGCTCCAAATGTCCACATCCAGATACTACAAAAAGAGTGTTTCAAACCTGCTCTATGAAAGGGAATGTTCAACTCTGTGACTTGAATGCAAACATCACAAAGAAGTTTCTGGGAATGCTGCTGTCTGCTTTTTATATGTAATCCCGTTTCCAACGAAATCCTCAAAGATAGACAAATATCCACTTGCAGATTCCACAAAAAGAGTGTTTCAAAACTCCTCTCTCAAAAGAAAGGTTCAACTCTGTTAGCTGAGTAGATACATCATGAAAAAGTTTCTGACATTGCTTCTATCTAGCTTTTATTGGAAGATATTTCCTTTATCACCGTATTCCTGAGATCTCTCCAAATGTCCACTTCCAGATACTACAAAAAGAGTGTTTCAAACCTGCTCTATGAAAGGGACTGTTCAACACTGTGACTTCAACTGAAACATCCCAATGAAGCTTCTGAGAATGCTTCTGTCTAGAGTTTATATGAAGACAATCCCGTTTCCAACGAAATCCTCAAAGCTATCAAAATATCCTCTTACAGATTTTACGAAAAGAGTGTTTCAAAACTGCTGTATCAAAAGAAAGCTTCAACACTGTTAGTTGAGGGCGCACATCACAAATAAGATTCTGAGAATGCTGCTGTCTGCTTTTTATGTGTAATCCCGTTTCAAACGAAATTCTCAAAGCTAGACAAATATCCACTTGCAGATTCCACAAAAAGAGTGTTTCAAAACTGCTCTATCAAAAGAAAGCTTCAACATTGTTAGTTGAGGGCGCACATCACAAATAAGTTTCTGAGAATGCTTCTGTCTAGTTTTCAGGGGAAGATATTTCCTTTTAAACCATAGGCCTGAAAGCGCTCCAAATGTCCACATCCAGATACTACAAAAAGAGTGTTTCAAATCTGCTCTATGAAAGGGACTGTTCAACACTGTGACTTCAATTGAAACATCCCAATGAAGCTTCTGAGAATGCTTCTGTCTAGATTTTATATGAAGACAATCCCGTTTCCAACGAAATCCTCAAAGCTATCCAAATATCCTCTTGCAGATTTTACAAAAAGAGTGTTTCAAAACTGCTCCATCAAAAGAAAAGTTCAACACTGTTAGTTGAGGGCGCACATCACAAATAAGTTTCTGAGAATGCTTCTGTCTAGTTTTCAGGAGAAGATATTTCCTTTTTCACCACAGGTCTGAAAGTGCTCCAAATGTCCACATCCAGATACTACAAAAAGAGTGTTTCAAACCTGCTCTATGAAAGGCAATGTTCAACTCTGTGACTTGAATGCAAACATCACAAAGAAGTTACTGGGAATGCTGCTGTCTGCTTTTTATATGTAATCCCGTTTCCAACGAAATCCTCAAAGCTAGACAAATATCCACTTGCAGATTCCACAAAAAGAGTGTTTCAAAACTGCTCTCTCAAAAGAAAGGTTCAACTCTGTTAGCTGAGTAGATACATCATGAAAAAGATTCTGACATTGCTTCTATGTAGCTTTTATTGGAAGATATTTCCTTTTTCACCATAGTCCTGAGAGCGCTCCAAATGTCCACTTCCAGATACTACAAAAAGAGTGTTTCAAACCTGTTCTATGAAAGGAACTGTTCAACACTGTGACTTCAATTGAAACATCCCAATGAAGCTTCTGAGAATGCTTCTGCCTAGAGTTTATATGAAGACAATCCCGTTTCCAACGAAATCCTCAAAGCTATCCAAATATCCTCTTGCAGATATTACAAAAAGAGTGTTTCAAAACTGCTCTATCAAAAGAAAGCTTCAACACTGTTAGTTGAGGGCGCACATCACAAATAAGTTTCTGAGAATGCTTCTGTCTAGTTTTCAGGGGAAGATATTTCCTTTTTCACCATAGGCCTGAAAGCGCTGCAAATGTCCACATCCAGATACTACAAAAAGAGTGTTTCAAACCTGCTCTATGAAAGGGAATGTTCAACTCTGTGACTTGAATGCAAACATCACAAAGAAGTTTCTGGGAATGCTGCTGTCTTCTTTTTATATGTAATCCCGTTTCCAACGAAATCCTGAAAGCTAGACAAATATCCACCTATAGATTCCTGAAAAAGCGTGTTTCAAAACTGCACTCTCAAACAAAATGTTCAACTCTGTTAGCTGAGTAGATACATCATGAAAAAGTTTCTGACATTGCTTCTATCTAGCTTTTATTGGAAGATATTTCCTTTTTCACCGTAGTCCTGAGAACGCTCCTATTGTCCATTTCCAGATACTACAAAAAGTGTGTTTCAAAGCTGCTCTATGAAAGGGACTGTTCAACACTGTGACTTCAATTGAAACATCCCAATGAAGCTTCTGAGAATGCTGCTGTCTGCTTTGTATAATTAATCCCGTTTCCAACGAAATCCTCAAAGCTATCCAAATATCCTCTTGCAGATATTACAAAAAGAGTGTTTCAAAACTGCTCTATCAAAAGAAAGCTTCAACACTGTTAGTTGAGGGCGCACATCACAAATAAGTTTCTGAGAATGCTGCTGTCTGCTTTTTATATGTAATCCCGTTTCCAACGAAATCCTCAAAGCTAGACAAATATCCACTTGCAGATTCCACAAAAAGAGTGTTTCAAAACTGCTCTATCAAAAGAATGCTTCAACACTGTTAGTTGAGGGCGCACATCACAAATAAGTTTCTGAGAATGCTTCTCTCTAGTTTTCAGGGGAAGATATTTCCTTTTTCACCATAGGCCTGAAAGCGCTCCAAATGTCCACATCCAGATACTACAAAAAGATTGTTTCAAACCTGCTCTATGAAAGGGACTGTTCAACACTGTGACTTCAATTGAAACATCCCAATGAAGCTTCTGAGAATGCTTCTGTCTAGAGTTTATATGAAGACAATCCCGTTTCCAACGAAATCCTCAAAGCTATCCAAATATCCTCTTGCAGAATTTACAAAAAGAGTGTTTCAAAACTGCTCTATCAAAAGAAAGCTTCAACACTGTTAGTTGAGGGCGCACATCACAAATAAGATTCTGAGAATGCTTCTGTCTAGTTTTCAGGGGAAGATATTTCCTTTTTCACCATAGGCCTGAAAGCACTCCAAATGTCCACATCCAGATACTACAAAAAGAGTGTTTCAAACCTGCTCTATGAAAGGGAATGTTCAACTCTGTGACTTGAATGCAAACATCACAAAGAAGTTACTGGGAATGCTGCTGTCTGCTTTTTATATGTATTCCCGTTTCCAACGAAATCCTCAAAGCTAGACAAATATCCACTTGCAGATTCCACAAAAAGAGTGTTTCAAAACTGCTCTCTCAAAGGAAAGGTTCAACTCTGTTAGCTGAGTAGATACATCATGAAAAAGTTTCTGACATTGCTTCTATGTAGCTTTTATTGGAAGATATTTCCTTTTTCACCACAGTCCTGAGAGCGCTCCAAATGTCCACTTCCAGATACTACAAAAAGAGTGTTTCAAACCTGTTCTATGAAAGGAACTGTTCAACACTGTGACTTCAATTGAAACATCCCAATGAAGCTTCTGGGAATGCTTCTTTCTAGAGTTTATATGAAGACAATCCCGTTTCCAACGAAATCCTCAAAGCTATCCAAATATTCTCTTGCAGATATTACAAAAAGAGTGTTTCAAAACTGCTCTATCAAAATAAAGCTTCAACACTGTTAGTTGAGGGCGCACATCACAAATAAGTTTCTGAGAATGCTGCTGTCTGCTTTTTATATGTAATCCCGTTTCCAACGAAATCCTCAAAGCTAGACAAATATCCACTTGCAGATTCCACAAAAAGAGTGTTTCAAAACTGCTCTATCAAAAGAAAGCTTCAACACTGTTAGTTGAGGGCGCACATCACAAATAAGTTTCTGAGAATGCTTCTGTCTAGTTTTCAGGGGAAGATATTTCCTTTTTCACCATAGGCCTGAAAGCGCTCCAAATGTCCACATACAGATACTACAAAAAGAGTGTTTCAAACCTGCTCTATGAAAGGGAATGTTCAACTCTGTGACTTGAATGCAAACTTCACAAAGAAGTTTCTGGGAATGCTGCTGTCTGCTTTTTATATGTAATCCCGTTTCCAACGAAATCCTCAAAGCTAGGCAAATATCCCCTTGCAGATTCCACAAAAAGAGTGTTTCAAAACTGCTCTCTCAAAGGAAGGTTCAACTCTGTTAGCTGAGTAGATACATCATGAAAAAGTTTCTGACATTGCTTCTATGTAGCTTTTATTGGAAGATATTTCCTTTTTCACCGTAGTCCTGAGAGCGCTCCAAATGTCCACTTCCAGATACTACAAAAAGAGTGTTTCAAACCTGCTCTATGAAAGGGACTGTTCAACACTGTGACTTCAATTGAAACATCCCAATGAAGCTTCTGAGAATGCTTCTGTCTAGAGTTTATATGAAGACAATCCCGTTTCCAATGAAATCCTCAAAGCTATGCAAATATCCTCTTGCAGATTTTACAAAAAGAGTGTTTCAAAACTGCTCTATCAAAAGAAAGCTTCAACACTGTTAGTTGAGGGCGCACATCACAGATAAAATTCTGAGAATGCTTGCTGTCTGCTTTTTATATGTAATCCCGTTTCCAACGAAATCCTCAAAGCTAGACAAATATCCACTTGCAGATTCCACAAAAAGAGTGTTTCAAAACTGCTCTATCAAAAGAAAGCTTCAACACTGTTAGTTGAGGGCGCACATCACAAATAAGTTTCTGAGAATGCTTCTATGTAGCTTTTATTGGAAGATATTTAATTTTTCACCATAGTCCTGAGAGCCCTCCAAATGTCCACTTCCAGATACTACAAAAAGAGTGTTTCAAACCTGTTCTATGAAAGGAACTGTTCAACACTGTGACTTCAATTGAAACATCCCAATGAAGCTTCTGAGAATGCTTCTGTCTAGAGTTTATATGAAGACAATCCCGTTTCCAACGAAATCCTCAAAGCTATCCAAATATCCTCTTGCAGATATTACAAAAAGAGTGTTTCAAAACTGCTCTATCAAAAGAAAGCTTCAACACTGTTAGTTGAGGGCGCACATCACAAATAAGTTTCTGAGAATGCTTCTGTCTAGTTTTCAGGGGAAGATATTTCCTTTTTCACCTTAGGCCTGAAAGCGCTGCAAATGTCCACATCCAGATACTACAAAAAGAGTGTTTCAAACCTGCTCTATGAAAGAGAATGTTCAACTCTGTGACTTGAATGCAAACATCACAAAGAAGTTTCTGGGAATGCTGCTGTCTGCTTTTTATATGTAATCCCGTTTCCAACGAAATCCTCAAAGCTAGACAAATATCCACTTGCAGATTCCACAAAAAGAGTGTTTCAAAACTGCTCTCTGAAAAGAAAGGTTCAACTGTGTTAGCTGAGTAGATACATCATGAAAAAGTTTCTGACATTGCTTCTATCTAGCTTTTATTGGAAGATATTTCCTTTATCACCGTATTCCTGAGATCTCTCAAAATGTCCACTTCCAGATACTACAAAGAGAGTGTTTCAAACCTGCTCTATGAAAGGGACTGTTCAACACTGTGACTTCAATTGAAACATCCCAATGAAGCTTCTGAGAATGCTTCTGTCTAGTTTTCAGGAGAAGATATTTCCTTTTTCACCATAGGCCTGAAAGCGCTCCAAATGTCCACATCCAGATTCTATAAAAAGAGTGTTTCAAACCTGCTCTCTGAAAGGGAATGTTCAACTCTGTGACTTGAATGCAAAGATCACAAAGAAGATTCTGGGAATGCTGCTGTCTGCTTTTTATATGTAATCCCGTTTCCAACGAAATCCTCAAAGCTAGACAAATATCCACTTGCAGATTCCACAAAAAGAGTGTTTCCAAACTGCTCTATCAAAAGAAAGCTTCAACACTGTTAGTTGAGGGCGCACATCACAAATAAGTTTCTGAGAATGCTTCTGTCTAGTTTTTATGGGAAGATATTTCCTTTTTCAACATAGCCCTGAAAGCGCTACAAATGTCCACTTCCAGATACTACAAAAAGAGTGTTTCAAACCTGCTCCATGAAAGGGACTGTTCAACACTGCGACTTCAATAGAAACATCCCAATGAAGTTTCTGAGAATGCTTCTGTCTAGATTGTATATGAAGACAATCCCGTTTCCAACGAAATCCTCAATGCTATCCAAATATCCTCTTGCAGATTTTACAAAAAGAGTGTTTCAAAACTGCTCTATCAAAAGAAAGCTTCAACACTGTTAGTTGAGGGCGCACATCACAAATAAGTTTCTGAGAATGCTTCTGTCTAGTTTTCAGGGGAAGATATTTCCTTTTTCACCATAGGCCTGAAAGCGCTCCAAATGTCCACATCCAGATACTACAAAAAGAGTGTTTCAAACCTGCTCCATGAAAGGGAATGTTCAACTCTGTGACTTGAATGCAAACATCACAAAGAAGTTACTGGGAATGCTGCTGTCTGCTTTTTATATGTAATCCCGTTTCCAACGAAATCCTCAAAGCTAGACAAATATCCACTTCCAGATTCCACAAAAAGAGTGTTTCAAAACTGCTCTCTCAAAAGAAAGGTTCAACTCTGTTAGCTGAGTAGATACATCATGAAAAAGTTTCTGACATTGCTTCTATCTAGCTTTTATTGGAAGATATTACCTTTATCACCGTATTCCTGAGATCTCTCCAAATGTCCACTTCCAGATACTACAAAAAGAGTGTTTCAAACCTGCTCTATGAAAGGGACTGTTCAACACTGTGACTTCAATTGAAAGATCCCAATGAAGCCTCTCAGAATGCTTCTTTCTAGAGTTTATATGAAGACAATCCCGTTTCCAACGAAATCCTCAAAGCTATCCAAATATTCTCTTGCAGATATTACAAAAAGAGTGTTTCAAAACTGCTCTATCAAAATAAAGCTTCAACACTGTTAGTTGAGGGCGCACATCACAAATAAGTTTCTGAGAATGCTGCTGTCTGCTTTTTATATGTAATCCCGTTTCCAACGAAATCCTCAAAGCTATCCAAATATCCTCTTGCAGATATTACAAAAAGAGTGTTTCAAAACTGCTCTATCAAAAGAAAGGTTCAACACTGTTAGTTGAGGGCGCACATCACAAATAAGTTTCTGAGAATGCTTCTGTCTAGTTTTCAGGGGAAGATATTTCCTTTTTCACCATAGGCCTGAAAGCGCTCCAAATGTCCACATCCAGATACTACAAAAAGAGTGTTTCAAACCTGCTCTATGAAAGGGACTGTTCAACACTGTGACTTCAATTGAAACATCCCAATGAAGCATCTGAGAATGCTTCTGTCTAGAGTTTATATGAAGACAATCCCGTTTCCAACGAAATCCTCAAAGCTATCCAAATATCCTCTTGCAGATTTTACAAAAAGAGTGTTTCAAAACTGCTCTATCAAAAGAAAGCTTCAACACTGTTAGTTGAGGGCGCACATCACAAATAAGATTCTGAGAATGCTTCTGTCTAATTTTCAGGGGAAGATATTTCCTTTTTCACCATAGACCTGAAAGCGCTCCAAATGTCCACATCCAGATACTACAAAAAGAGTGTTTCAAACCTGCTCTATGAAAGGGAATGTTCAACTGTGTGACTTGAATGCAAACATCACAAAGAAGTTTCTGGGAATGCTGCTGTCTGCTTTTTATATGTAATCCCGTTTCCAACGAAATCCTCAAAGCTAGACAAATATCCACTTGCAGATTCCACAAAAAGAGTGTTTCAAAACTGCTCTCTCAAAAGAAAGGTTCAACTCTGTTAGCTGAGTAGATACATCATGAAAAAGTTTCTGACATTGCTTCTATCTAGCTTTTATTGGAAGATATTTCCTTTATCACCGTAGTCCGGAGAGCGCTCCAAATGTCCACTTCCAGATACTACAAAAAGAGTGTTTCAAACCTGCTCTATGAAAGGGACTGTTCAACACTGTGACTTCAATTGAAACATCCCAATGATGCTTCTGAGAATGCTGCTGTCTGCTTTGTATAATTAATCCCGTTTCCAACGAAATCCTCAAAGCTATCCAAATATCCTCTTGCAGATATTACAAAAAGAGTGTTTCAAAACTGCTCTATCAAAAGAAAGCTTCAACACTGTTAGTTGAGGGCGCACATCACAAATAAGTTTCTGAGAATGCTGCTGTCTGCTTTTTATATGTAATCCCGTTTCCAACGAAATTCTCAAAGCTAGACAAATATCCACTTGCAGATTCCACAAAAAGAGTGTTTCAAAACTGCTCTATCAAAAGAAAGCTTCAACACTGTTAGTTGAGGGCGCACATCACAAATAAGTTTCTGAGAATGCTTCTGTCTAGTTTTCAGGGGAAGATATTTCCTTTTTCACCTTAGGCCTGAAAGCGCTGCAAATGTCCACATCCAGATACTACAAAAAGAGTGTTTCAAACCTGCTCTATGAAAGGGAATGTTCAACTCTGTGACTTGAATGCAAACATCACAAAGAAGTTTCTGGGAATGCCGCTGTCTGCTTTTTATATGTAATCCCGTTTCCAACGAAATCCTCAAAGCTAGACAAATATCCACTTCCAGATTCCACAAAAAGAGTGTTTCAAAACTGCTCTCTCAAAAGAAAGGTTCAACTCTGTTAGCTGAGTAGATACATCATGAAAAAGTTTCTGACATTGCTTCTATCTAGCTTTTATTGGAAGATATTTCCTTTGTCACCGTATTCCTGAGATCTCTCCAAATGTCCACTTCCAGATCCTACGAAAAAGGGTGTTTCAAACCTACTCTATGAAAGGGACTGTTCAACACTGTGACTTCAATTGAAACATCCCAATGAAGCTTCTGAGAATGCTTCTGTCTAGAGTTTATATGAAGACAATACCGTTTCCAACGAAATCCTCAAAGCTATCCAAATATCCTCTTGCAGATTTTACAAAAAGAGTGTTCCAAAACTGCTCTATCAAAAGAAAGCTTCAACACTGTTAGTTGAGGGCGCACATCACAAATAAGATTCTGAGAATGCTGCTGTCTGCTTTTTATATGTAATCCCGTTTCCAACGAAATCCTCAAAGCTATCCAAATATCCTCTTGCAGATATTACAAAAAGAGTGTTTCAAAACTGCTCTATCAAAAGAAAGGTTCAACACTGTTAGTTGAGGGCGCACATCACAAATAAGTTTCTGAGAATGCTTCTGTCTAGTTTTCAGGGGAAGATATTTCCTTTTTCACCATAGGCCTGAAAGCGCTCCAAATGTCCACATCCAGATACTACAAAAAGAGTGTTTCAAACCTGCTCTATGAAAGGGACTGTTCAACACTGTGACTTCAATTGAAACATCCCAATGAAGCTTCTGAGAATGCTTCTGTCTAGAGTTTATATGAAGACAATCCCGTTTCCAACGAAATCCTCAAAGCTATCCAAATATCCTCTTGCAGATATTACAAAAAGAGTGTTTCAAAACTGCTCTATCAAAAGAAAGCTTCAACACTGTTAGTTGAGGGCGCACATCACAAATAAGTTTCTGAGAATGCTTCTGTCTAGTTTTCAGGGGAAGATATTTCCTTTTTCACCATAGGCCTGAAAGCGCTCCAAATGTCCACATCCAGATACTGCAAAAAGAGTGTTTCAAACCTGCTCTATGAAAGGGAATGTTCAACTCTGTGACTTGAATGCAAACATCACAAAGAAGTTACTGGGAATGCTGCTGTCTGCTTTTTATATGTAATCCCGTTTCCAACGAAATCCTCAAAGCTAGACAAATATCCACTTGCAGATTCCACAAAAAGAGTGTTTCAAAACTGCTCTCTCAAAAGAAAGGTTCAACTCTGTTAGCTGAGTAGATACATCATGAAAAAGTTTCTGACATTGCTTCTATCTAGCTTTTATTGGAAGATATTTCCTTTTTCACCGTAGTCCAGAGATCTCTCCAAATGTCCACTTCCAGAAACTACAAAAAGAGTGTTTCAAACCTGCTCTATGAAAGGGACTGTTCAACACTGTGACTTCAATTGAAACATCCCAATGAAGCTTCTGAGAATGCTTCTGTCTAGATTCTATATGAAGACAATCCCGTTTCCAACGAAATCCTCAAAGCTATCCAAATATCCTCTTGCAGATTTTACAAAAAGAGTGTTTCAAAACTGCTCTATCAAAAGAAAAGTTCCACACTGTTAGTTGAGGGCGCACATCACAAATAAGTTTGCTGAGAATGCTGCTGTCTGCTTTTTATATGTAATCCCGTTTCCAACGAAATCCTCAAAGCTAGACAAATATCCACTTGCAGATTCCACAAAAAGAGTTTTTCAAAACTGCCCTATCAAAAGAATGCTTCAACACTGTTAGTTGAGGGCGCACATCACAAATAAGTTTCTGAGAATGCTTCTGTCTAGTTTTCAGGGGAAGATATTTCCTTTTAAACCATAGGCCTGAAAGCGCTCCAAATGTCCACATCCAGATACTACAAAAAGAGTGTTTGAAACCTGCTCTATGAAAGGGACTGTTCAACACTGTGACTTCAATTGAAACATCCCAATGAAGCTTCTGAGAATGCTTCAGTCTAGAGTTTATATGAAGACAATCCCGTTTCCAACGAAATCCTCAAAGCTATCCAAATATCCTCTTGCAGATTTTACAAAAAGGGTGTTTCAAAACTGCTCTATCAAAAGAAAGGTTCAACACTGTTAGTTGAGGGCGCACATCACAAATAAGTTTCTGAGAATGCTTCTGTCTAGTTTTCAGGGGAAGATATTTCCTTTTTCACCATAGACCTGAAAGCGCTCCAAATGTCCACATCCAGATACTACAAAAAGAGTGTTTCAAACCTGCTCTATGAAAGGGAATGTTCAACTGTGTGACTTGAATGCAAACATCACAAAGAAGTTTCTGGGAATGCTGCTGTCTGCTTTTTATATGTAATCCCGTTTCCAACGAAATCCTCAATGCTAGACAAATATCCACTTGCAGATTCCACAAAAAGAGTGTTTCAAAACTGCTCTCTCAAAAGAAAGGTTCAACTCTGTTAGCTGAGTAGATACATCATGAAAAAGTTTCTGACATTGCTTCTATCTAGCTTTTATTGGAAGATATTTCCTTTTTCACCGTAGTCCTGAGAACGCTCCAAATGTCCACTTCCAGATGCTACAAAAAGAGTGTTTGAAACCTGCTCTATGAAAGGGACTGTTCAACACTGTGACTTCAATTGAAACATCCCAATGAAGCTTCTGAGAATGCTATCTTTCTAGAGTTTATATGAAGACAATCCCGTTTCCAACGAAATCCTCAAAGCTATCCAAATATTCTCTTGCAGATATTACAAAAAGAGTGTTTCAAAACTGCTCTATCAAAATAAAGCTTCAACACTGTTAGTTGAGGGCGCACATCACAAATAAGTTTCTGAGAATGCTGCTGTCTGCTTTTTATATGTAATCCCGTTTCCAACGAAATCCTCAAATCTAGACAAATATCCACTTGCAGATAAAAAGAGTGTTTCAAAACTGCTCTGTCAAAAGAAAGCTTCAACACTGTTAGTTGAGGGCGCACATCACAAATAAGATTCTGAGAATGCTTTTGTCTAGTTTTCAGGGGAAGATATTTCCTTTTAAACCATAGGCCTGAAAGCGCTCCAAATGTCCACATCCAGATACTACAAAAAGAGTGTTTCAAACCTGCTCTATGAAAGGGACTGTTCAACACTGTGACTTCAATTGAAACATCCCAATGAAGCTTCTGAGAATGCTTCTGTCTAGAGTTTATATGAAGACAATCCCGTTTCCAACGAAATCCTCAAAGCTATCCAAATATCCTCTTGCAGATTTTACAAAAAGAGTGTTTCAAAACTGCTCTATCAAAAGAAAGCTTCAACTCTGTTAGTTGAGGGCGCACATCACAAATAAGATTCTGAGAATGCTTCTGTCTAGTTTTCAGGGGAAGATATTTCCTTTTTCACCATAGGCCTGAAAGCGCTCCAAATGTCCACATCCAGATACTACAAAAAGAGTGTTTCAAACCTGCTCTATGAAAGGGAATGTTCAACTCTGTGACTTGAATGCAAACATCACAAAGAAGTTTCTGGGAATGCTGCTGTCTGCTTTTTATAATTAATCCCGTTTCCAACGAAATCCTCAAAGCTAGACAAATATCCACTTGCAGATTCCACAAAAAGAGTGTTTCAAAACTGCTCTATCAAAAGAATGCTTCAACACTCTTAGTTGAGGGCGCACATCACAAATAAGTTTCTGAGAATGCTTCTGTCTAGTTTTCAGGGGAAGATATTTCCTTTTAAACCATAGGCTTAAAGCGCTCCAAATGTCCACATCCAGATACTACAAAAAGAGTGTTTCAAACCTGCTCTATGAAAGGGACTGTTCAACACTGTGACTTCAATTGAAACATCCCAATGACGCTTCTGAGAATGCTTCTGTCTAGAGTTTATATGAAGACAATCCCGTTTCCAACGAAATCCTCAAAGCTATCCAAATATCCTCTTGCAGATTTTACAAAAAGAGTGTTTCAAAACTGCTCTATCAAAAGAAAGCTTCAACACTGTTAGTTGAGGGCGCACATCACAAATAAGATTCTGAGAATGCTTCTGTCTAGTTTTCAGGAGAAGATATTTCCTTTTACACCATAGGCCTGAAAGCGCTCCAAATGTCCACATCCAGATACTATAAAAAGAGTGTTTCAAACCTGCTCTCTGAAAGGGAATGTTCAACTCTGTGACTTGAATGCAAACATCACAAACAAGATTCTGGGAATGCTGCTGTCTGCTTTTTATATGTAATCCCGTTTCCAACGAAATCCTCAAAGCTAGACAAATATCCACTTGCAGATTCCACAAAAAGAGTGTTTCAAAACTGCTCTCTCAAAAGAAAGGTTCAACTCTGTTAGCTGAGTAGATACATCATGAAAAAGTTTCTGACATTGCTTCTATGTAGCTTTTATTGGAAGATATTTCCTTTTTCACCGTAGTCCTGAGAGCGCTCCAAATGTCCACTTCCAGATACTACAAAAAGAGTGTTTCAAACCTGTTCTATGAAAGGAACTGTTCAACAGTGTGACTTCAATTGAAACATCCCAATGAAGCTTCTGAGAATGCTTCTGTCTAGAGTTTATATGAAGACAATCCCGTTTCCAACGAAATCCTCAAAGCTATCCAAATATCCTCTTGCAGATATTACAAAAAGAGTGTTTCAAAACTGCTCTATCAAAAGAAAGGTTCAACACTGTTAGTTGAGGGCGCACATCACAAATAAGTTTCTGAGAATGCTTCTGTCTAGTTTTCAGGGGAAGATATTTCCTTTTTCACCATAGGCCTGAAAGCGCTCCAAATGTCCACATACAGATACTACAAAAAGTGTGTTTCAAACCTGCTCTATGAAAGGGAATGTTCAAATCTGTGACTTGAATGCAAACATCACAAAGAAGTTTCTGGGAATGCTGCTGTCTGCTTTTTATATGTAATCCCGTTTCCAACGAAATCCTCAAAGCTAGACAAATATCCACTTGCAGATTCCACAAAACGAGAGTTTCAAAACTGCTCTCTCAAATGAAGGTTCAACTCTGTTAGCTGAGTAGATACATCATGAAAAAGTTTCTGACATTGCTTCTATCTAGCTTTTATTGGAAGATATTTCCTTTTTCACCGCAGTCCTGAGAGCGCTCCAAATGTCCACTTCCAGATACTACAAAAAGAGTGTTTCAAACCTGCTCTATGAAAGGGACTGTTCAACACTGTGACTTCAATTGAAACATCCCAATGAAGCTTCTGAGAATGCTGCTGTCTGCTTTGTATAATTAATCCCGTTTCCAACGAAATCCTCAAAGCTATCCAAATATCCTCTTGCAGATATTACAAAAAGAGTGTTTCAAAACTGCTCTATCAAAAGAAAGCTTCAACACTGTTAGTTGAGGGCGCACATCACAAATAAGTTTCTGAGAATGCTGCTGTCTGCTTTTTATATGTAATCCCGTTTCCAACGAAATCCTCAAAGCTAGACAAATATCCACTTGCAGATTCCACAAAAAGAGTGTTTCAAAACTGCTCTCTCAAAAGAATGCTTCAACACTCTTAGTTGAGGGCGCACATCACAAATAAGTTTCTGAGAATGCTTCTGTCTAGTTTTCAGGGGAAGATATTTCCTTTTTCACCATAGGCCTGAAAGCGCTCTAAATGTCCACATCCAGATACTACAAAAAGAGTGTTTCAAACCTGCTCTATGAAAGGGACTGTTCAACACTGTGACTTCAATTGAAACATCCCAATGAAGCTTCTGAGAATGCTTCTGTCTAGAGTTTATATGAAGACAATCCCGTTTCCAACGAAATCCTCAAAGCTATCCAAATATCCTCTTGCAGATATTACAAAAAGAGTGTTTCAAAACTGCTCTATCAAAAGAAAGCTTCAACACTGTCAGTTGAGGGCGCACATCACAAATAAGTTTCTGAGAATGCTTCTGTCTAGTTTTCAGGGGAAGATATTTCCTTTTTCACCTTAGGCCTGAAAGCGCTGCAAATGTCCACATCCAGATACTACAAAAAGAGTGTTTGAAACCTGCTCTATGAAAGGGAATGTTCAACTCTGTGACTTGAATGCAAATATCACAAAGAAGATTCTGGGAATGCTGCTGTCTGCTTTTTATATGTAATCCCGTTTCCAACGAAATCCTCAAAGCTAGACAAATATCCACTTGCAGATTCCACAAAAAGAGTGTTTCAAAACTGCTCTCTCAAAAGAAAGGTTCAACTCTGTTAGCTGAGTAGATACATCATGAAAAAGTTTCTGACATTGCTTCTATCTAGCTTTTATTGGAAGATATTTCCTTTTCCACCGTAGTCCTGAGATCTCACCAAATGTCCACTTCCAGATACTACAAAAAGAGTGTTTCAAACCTGCTCTATGAAAGGGGCTGTTCAACACTGTGACTTCAATTGAAACATCCCAATGAAGCTTCTGAGAATGCTGCTGTCTGCTTTGTATAATTAATCCCGTTTCCAACGAAATCCTCAAAGCTATCCAAATATCCTCTTGCAGATATTACAAAAAGAGTGTTTCAAAACTGCTCTATCAAAAGAAAGCTTCAACACTGTTAGTTGAGGGCGCACATCACAAATAAGTTTCTGAGAATGCTGCTGTCTGCTTTTTATATGTAATCCCGTTTCCAACGAAATCCTCAAAGCTAGACAAATATCCACTTGCAGATTCCACAAAAAGAGTGTTTCAAAACTGCTCTATCAAAAGAAAGCTTCAACACTGTTAGTTGAGGGCGCACATCACAAATAAGTTTCTGAGAATGCTTCTGTCTAGTTTTCAGGGGAAGATATTTCCTTTTTCACCTTAGGCCTGAAAGCGCTGCAAATGTCCACATCCAGATACTACAAAAAGAGTGTTTCAAACCTGCTCTATGAAAGGGACTGTTCAACACTGTGACTTCAATTGAAACATCCCATATGAAGCTTCTGAGAATGCTTCTGTCTAGAGTTTATATGAAGACAATCCCGTTTCCAACGAAATCCTCAAAGCTATCCAAATATCCTCTTGCAGATTTTACAAAAAGAGTGTTTCAAAACTGCTCTATCAAAAGAAAGCTTCAACACTGTTAGTTGAGTGCGCACATCACAAATAAGATTCTAAGAATTCTTCTGTATAGTTTTCAGGGGAAGATATTTCCTTTTTCACCATAGGCCTGAAAGCGCTCCAAATGTCCACATCCAGATACTACAAAAAGAGTGTTTCAAACCTGCTCTATGAAAGGGAATGTTCAACTCTGTGACTTGAATGCAAACTTCACAAAGAAGTTTCTGGGAATGCTGCTGTCTGCTTTTTATAAGTAATCCCGTTTCCAACGAAATCCTCAAAGCTAGAAAAATATCCACTTGCAGATTCCACAAAAAGAGTGTTTCAAAACTGCTCTATCAAAAGAATGCTTCAACACTGTTAGTTGAGGGCGCACATCACAAATAAGTTTCTGAGAATGCTTCTATCTAGCTTTTATTGGAAGATATTTCCTTTTTCACCGTAGTCCTGAGAGCGCTCCAAATGTCCACTTCCAGATGCTACAAAAAGAGTGTTTCAAACCTGCTCTATGAAAGTGACTGTTCAACACTGTGACTTCAATTGAAACATCCCAATGAACCTTCTGAGAATGCTTCTGTCTAGAGTTTATATGAAGACAATCCCGTTTCCAACGAAATCCTCAAAGCTATCCAAATATCCTCTTGCAGATATTACAAAAAGAGTGTTTCAAAACTGCTCTATCAAAAGAAAGGTTCAACACTGTTAGTTGAGGGCGCACATCACAAATAAGTTTACTGAGAATGCTGCTGTCTGCTTTTTATATGTAATCCCGTTTCCAACGAAATACTCAAAGCTAGACAAATATCCACTTCCAGATTCCACAAAAAGAGTGTTTCAAAACTGCTCTATCAAAAGAAAGCTTCAACACTGTTAGTTGAGGGCTGCACATCACAAATAAGTTTCTGAGAATGCTTCTGTCTAGTTTTCAGGGGAAGATATTTCCTTTTTCACCATAGGCCTGAAAGCGCTCGAAATGTCCACATCCAGATACTACAAAAAGAGTGTTTCAAACCTGCTCTATGAAAGGGACTGTTCAACACTGTGACTTCAATTGAAACATCCCAATGAAGCTTCTGAGAATGCTTCTGTCTAGAGTTTATATGAAGACAATCCCGTTTCCAACGAAATCCTCAAAGCTATCCAAATATCCTCTTGCAGATATTACAAAAAGAGTGTTTCAAAACTGCTCTATCAAAAGAAAGGTTCAACACTGTTAGTTGAGGGCGCACATCACAAATAAGTTTCTGAGAATGCTTCTGTCTAGTTTTCAGGGGAAGATATTTCCTTTTTCACCATAGGCCTGAAAGCGCTCCAAATGTCCACATACAGATACTACAAAAAGAGTGTTTCAAACCTGCTCTATGAAAGGGAATGTTCAACTCTGTGACTTGAATGCAAACTTCACAAAGAAGTTTCTGGGAATGCTGCTGTCTGCTTTTTATATGTAATCCCGTTTCCAAAGAAATCCTCAAAGCTAGACAAATATCCACTTGCAGATTCCACAAAAAGAGTGTTTCAAAACTGCTCTCTCAAAAGAAAGGTTCAACTCTTTTAGCTGAGTACATACATCATGAAAAAGTTTCTCACATTGCTTCTATGTAGCTTTTATTGGAAGATATTTCCATTTTCACCGTAGTCCTGAGAGCGCTCCAAATGTCCACTTCCAGATACTACAAAAAGAGTGTTTCAAACCTGTTCTATGAAAGGAACTGTTCAACACTGTGACTTCAATTGAAACATCCCAATGAAGCTTCTGAGAATGCTTCTTTCTAGAGTTTATATGAAGACAATCCCGTTTCCAACGAAATCCTCAAAGCTATCCAAATATTCTCTTGCAGATATTACAAAAAGAGTGTTTCAAAACTGCTCTATCAAAATAAAGCTTCAACACTGTTAGTTGAGGGCGCACATCACAAATAAGTTTCTGAGAATGCTGCTGTCTGCTTTTTATATGTAATCCCGTTTCCAACGAAATCCTCAAAGCTAGACAAATATCCACTTGCAGATTCCACAAAAAGAGTGTTTCAAAACTGCTCTATCAAAAGAATGCTTCAACACTGTTAGTTGAGGGCGCACATCACAAATAAGTTTCTGAGAATGCTTCTGTCTAGTTTTCAGGGGAAGATATTTCCTTTTAAACCATAGGCCTGAAAGCGCTCCAAATGTCCACATCCAGATACTACAAAAAGAGTGTTTCAAACCTGCTCTATGAAAGGGACTGTTCAACACTGTGACTTCAATTGAAACATCCCAATGACGCTTCTGAGAATGCTTCTGTCTAGAGTTTATATGAAGACAATCCCGTTTCCAACGAAATCCTCAAAGCTATCCAAATATCCTCTTGCAGATATTACAAAAAGAGTGTTTCAAAACTGCTCTATCAAAAGAAAGGTTCAACACTGTTAGTTGAGGGCGCACATCACAAATAAGTTTCTGAGAATGCTTCTGTCTAGTTTTCAGGGGAAGATATTTCCTTTTTCACCATAGGCCTGAAAGCGCTCCAAATGTCCACATCCAGATACTACAAAAAGAGAGTTTCAAACCTGCTCTATGAAAGGGAATGTTCAGCTCTGTGACTTGAATGCAAACATCACAAAGAAGTTTCTGGGAATGCTGCTGTCTGCTTTTTATATGTAATCCCGTTTCCAACGAAATCCTCAAAGCTAGACAAATATCCACTTGCAGATTCCACAAAAAGAGTGTTTCAAAACTGCTCTCTCAAAAGAAAGGTTCAACTCTGTTAGCTGAGTAGATACATCATGAAAAAGTTTCTGACATTGCTTCTATCTAGCTTTTATTGGAAGATATTTCCTTTTTCACCGTAGTCCTGAGAGCGCTCCAAATGTCCACTTCCAGATAGTACAAAAAGAGTGTTTCAAACCTGCTCTATGAAAGGGACTGTTCAACACTGTGACTTCAATTGAAACATCCCAATGAAGCTTCTGAGAATGCTTCTTTCTAGAGTTTATATGAAGACAATCCCGTTTCCAACGAAATCCTCAAAGCTATCCAAATATTCTCTTGCAGATATTACAAAAAGAGTGTTTCAAAACTGCTCTATCAAAATAAAGCTTCAACACTGTTAGTTGAGGGCGCACATCACAAATAAGTTTCTGAGAATGCTGCTGTCTGCTTTTTATATGTAATCCCGTTTCCAACGAAATCCTCAAAGCTAGACAAATATCCACTTGCAGATTCCACAAAAAGAGTGTTTCAAAACTGCTCTATCAAAAGAAAGCTTCAACACTGTTAGTTGAGGGCGCACATCACAAATAAGTTTCTGAGAATGCTTCTATCTAGCTTTTATTGGAAGATATTTCCTTTTTCACCGTAGTCCTGAGAGCGCTCCAAATGTCCACTTCCAGATACTACAAAAAGAGTGTTTCAAACCTCCTCTATGAAAGGGACTGTTCAACACTGTGACTTCAATTGAAACATCCCAATGAAGCTTCTGAGAATGCTTCTGTCTAGAGTTTATATGAAGACAATCCCGTTTCCAACGAAATCCTCAAAGCTATCCAAATATCCTCTTGCAGATTTTACAAAAAGAGTGTTTCAAAACTGCTCTATCAAAAGAAAGCTTCAACACTGTTAGTTGAGGGCGCACATCACAAATAAGATTCTGAGAATGCTTCTGTCTAGTTTGCAGGGGAAGATATTTCCTTTTTCACCATAGGCCTGAGAGCGCTCCAAATGTCCACATCCAGATACTACAAAAAGAGTGTTTCAAACCTGCTCTATGAAAGGGAATGTTCAACTCTGTGACTTGAATGCAAACATCACAAAGAAGTTTCTGGGAATGCTGCTGTCTGCTTTTTATATGTAATCCCGTTTCCAACGAAATCCTCAAAGCTAGTACAAATATCCACTTGCAGATTCCACAAAAAGAGTGTTTCAAAACTGCTCTATCAAAAGAATGCTTCAACACTGTTAGTTGAGGGCGCACATCACAAATAAGTTTCTGAGAATGCTTCTGTCTAGTTTTCAGGGGAAGATATTTCCTTTTAAACCATAGGCCTGAAAGCGCTCAAATGTCCACATCCAGATACTACAAAAAGAGTGTTTCAATCCTGCTCTATGAAAGGGACTGTTCAACATTGTGACTTCAATTGAAACATCCCCATGATGCTTCTGAGAATGCTTCTGTCTAGAGTTTATATGAAGACAATCCCGTTTCCAACGAAATCCTCAAAGCTATCAAAATATCCTCTTGCAGATTTTACGAAAAGAGTGTTTCAAAACTGCTCTATCAAAAGAAAGCTTCAACACTGTTAGTTGAGGGCGCACATCACAGATAAGATTCTGAGAATGCTTCTGTCTAGTTTTCAGGGGAAGATATTTCCTTTTTCACCATAGGCCTGAAAGCGCTCCAAATGTCCACATCCAGATACTACAAAAAGAGTGTTTCAAACCTGCTCTATGAAAGGGAATGTTCAACTCTGTGACTTGAATGCAAACATCACAAAGAAGTTACTGGGAATGCTGCTGTCTGCTTTTTATAGGTAATCCCGTTTCCAACGAAATCCTCAAAGCTAGACAAATATCCACTTGCAGATTCCACAAAAAGAGTGTTTCAAAACTGCTCTCTCAAAAGAAAGGTTCAACTCTGTTAGCTGAGTAGATACATCATGAAAAAGTTTCTGACATTGCTTCTATCTAGCTTTTATTGGAAGATATTTCCTTTTTCACCGTATTCCTGAGAGCGCTCCAAATGTCCACTTCCAGATACTACAAAAAGAGTTTTTCAAACCTGCTGCTATGAAAGGGACTGTTCAACACTGTGACTTCAATTGAAACATCCCAATGAAGCTTCTGAGAATGCTTCTGTCTAGAGTTTATATGAAGACAATCCCGTTTCCAACGAAATCCTCAAAGCTATCCAAATATCCTCTTGCAGATATTACAAAAAGAGTGTTTCAAAACTGCTCTATCAAAAGAAAGGTTCAACACTGTTAGTTGAGGGCGCACATCACAAATAAGTTTACTGAGAATGCTGCTGTCTGCTTTTTATATGTAATCCCGTTTCGAACGAAATCCTCAAAGCTAGACAAATATCCACTTGCAGATTCCACAAAAAGAGTGTTTCAAAACTGCTCTATCAAAAGAATGCTTCAACACTGTTAGTTGAGGGCGCACATCACAAATAAGTTTCTGAGAATGCTTCTGTCTAGTTTTCAGGGGAAGATATTTCCTTTTTCACCATAGGCCTGAAAGCGCTCCAAATGTCCACATCCAGATACTACAAAAAGAGTGTTTCAAACCTGCTCTATGAAAGGGACTGTTCAACACTGTGACTTCAATTGAAACATCCCAATGAAGCTTCTGAGAATGCTTCTGTCTAGTAGTTTATATGAAGACAATCCCGTTTCCAACGAAATCCTCAAAGCTATCCAAATATCCTCTTGCAGATATTACAAAAAGAGTGTTTCAAAACTGCTCTATCAAAAGAAAGCTTCAACACTGTTAGTTGAGGGCGCACATCACAAATAAGTTTCTGAGAATGCTTCTGTCTAGTTTTCAGGGGAAGATATTTCCTTTTTCACCATAGGCCTGAAAGCGCTCCAAATGTCCACATCCAGATACTACAAAAAGAGTGTTTCAAACCTGCTCTATGAAAGGGAATGTTCAACTCTGTGACTTCAATGCAAACTTCACAAAGAAGTTTCTGTTAATGCTGCTGTCTGCTTATTATATGTAATCCCGTTTCCAACGCAATCCTCAAAGCTAGACAAATATCCACTTGCAGATTCCACAAAAATAGTGTTTCAAAACTGCTCTCTCAAAAGAAAGGTTCAACTCTTTTAGCTGAGTAGATACATCATGAAAAAGTTTCTGATATTGCTTCTATGTAGCTTTTATTGGAAGATATTTCCTTTTGCTCCGTAGTCCTGAGAATGCTCCAAATGTCCACTTCCAGATGCTACAAAAAGAGTGTTTCAAACCTGCTCTATGAAAGGGACTGTTCAACACTGTGACTTCAATTGAAACATCCCAATGAAGCTTCTGAGAATGCTTCTGTCTAGAGTTTATATGAAGACAATCCCGTTTCCAACGAAATCCTCAAAGCTATCCAAATATCCTCTTGCAGATATTACAAAAAGAGTGTTTCAAAACTGCTCTATCAAAAGAAAGGTTCAACACTGTTAGTTGAGGGCGCACATCACAAATAAGTTTACTGAGAATGCTGCTGTCTGCTTTTTATATGTAATCCCGTTTCCAACGAAATCCTGAAAGCTATCCAAATATCCTCTTGCAGATATTACAAAAAGAGTGTTTCAAAACTGCTCTATCAAAAGAAAGGTTCAACACTGTTAGTTGAGGGCGCACATCACAAGTAAGTTTCTGAGAATGCTTCTGTCTAGTTTTCAGGGGAAGATATTTCCTTTTAAACCATAGGACTGAAAGCGCTCCAAATGTCCACATCCAGATACTACAAAAAGAGTGTTTCAAACCTGCTCTATGAAAGGGACTGTTCAACACTGTGACTTCAATTGAAACATCCCAATGAAGCTTCTGAGAATGCTTCTGTCTAGAGTTTATATGAAGACAATTCCGTTTCCAACGAAATCCTCAAAGCTATCCAAATATCCTCTTGCAGATTTTACAAAAAGAGTGTTTCAAAACTGCTCTATCAAAAGAAAGCTTCAACACTGTTAGTTGAGGGCGCACATCACAAATAAGATTCTGAGAATGCTTTCTGTCTAGTTTTCAGGGGAAGATATTTCCTTTTTCACCATAGGCCTGAGAGCGCTCCAAATGTCCACATCCAGATACTACAAAAAGAGTGTTTCAAACCTGCTCTATGAAAGGGATTGTTCAACTCTGTGACTTGAATGCAAACATCACAAAGAAGTTTCTGGGAATGCTGCTGTCTGCTTTTTATATGTAATCCCGTTTCCAAAGAAATCCTCAAAGCTAGACAAATATCCACTTGCAGATTCCACAAAAAGAGTGTTTCAAAACTGCTCTCTCAAAAGAAAGGTTCAACTGTTTTAGCTGAGTAGATACATCATGAAAAAGTTTCTCACATTGCTTCTATCTAGCTTTTATTTGAAGATATTTCCTTTTTCACCGTAGTCCTGAGAGTGCTCCAAATGTCCACTTCCAGATGCTACAAAAAGAGTGTTTCAAACCTGCTCTATGAAAGGGACTGTTCAACACTGTGACTTCAATTGAAACATCCCAATGAAGCTTCTCAGAATGCTACTGTCTAGAGTTTATATGAAGACAATCCCGTTTCCAACGAAATACTCAAAGCTATCCAAATATCCTCTTGCAGATTTTACAAAAAGCGTGTTTCAAAACTACTCTATCAATAGAAAGGTTCAACACTGTTAGTTGACGGCGCACATCACAAATAAGTTTCTGAGAATGCTGCTGTCTGCTTTTTATATGTAATCCCGTTTCCAACGAAATCCTCAAAGCTAGACAAATATCCACTTGCAGATTCCACAAAAAGAGTGTTTCAAAACTGCTCTATCAAAAGAAAGCTTCAACACTGTTAGTTGAGGGCGCACATCACAAATAAGTTTCTGAGAATGCTTCTGTCTAGTTTTCAGAGGAAGATATTTCCTTTTTCACCATAGGCCTGAAAGCGCTCCAAATGTCCACTTCCAGATCCTACAAAAAGGGTGTTTCAAACCTGCTCTATCAAAGGGACTGTTCAACACTGTGACTTCAATTGAAACATCCCAATGAGGCTTCTGAGAATGCTTCTGTCTAGAGTTTATATGAAGACAATCCCGTTTCCAACGAAATCCTCAAAGCTATCCAAATATCCTCTTGCAGATATTACAAAAAGAGTGTTTCAAAACTGCTCTATCAAAAGAAACCTTCAACACTGTTAGTTGAGGGCGCACATCACAAATAAGTTTCTGAGAATGCTTCTGTCTAGTTTTCAGGGGAAGATATTTCCTTTTTCACCATAGGCCTGAAAGCGCTCCAAATGTCCACATCCAGATACTACAAAAAGAGTGTTTCAAACCTGCTCTATGAAAGGGAATGTTCAACTCTGTGACTTGAATGCAAACGTCACAAAGAAGTTTCTGGGAATGCTGCTGTCTGCTTTTTATATGTAATCCCGTTTCCAACGAAATCCTCAAAGCTAGACAAATATCCACTTGCAGATTCCACAAAAAGAGTGTTTCAAAACTGCTCTCTCAAAGGAAAGGTTCACCTGTGTTAGCTGAGTAGATACATCATGAAAAAGTTTCTGACATTGCTTCTATCTAGCTTTTATTGGAAGATATTTCCTTTATCACCGTAGTCCTGAGAGCGCTCCAAATGTCCACTTCCAGATACTACAAAAAGAGTGTTTCAAACCTGCTCTATGAAAGGGACTGTTCAACACTGTGACTTCAATTGAAACATCCAAATGAAGCTTCTGAGAATGCTTCTGTCTAGAGTTTATATGAAGACAATCCCGTTTCCAACGAAATCCTCAAAGCTATCCAAATATCCTCTTGCAGATATTACAAAAAGAGTGTTTCAAAACTGCTCTATCAAAAGAAAGCTTCAACACTGTTAGTTGAGGGCGCACATCACAAATAAGTTTCTGAGAATGCTTCTGTCTAGTTTTCAGGGGAAGATATTTCCTTTTTCACCATAGGCCTGAAAGCGCTCCAAATGTCCACATCCAGATACTACAAAAAGAGTGTTTCAAACCTGCTCTATGAAAGGGAATGTTCAACTCTGTGACTTGAATGCAAACATCACAAAGAAGTTTCCGGGAATGCTGCTGTCTGCTTTTTATATGTAATCCCGTTTCCAACGAAATCCTCAAAGCTAGACAAATATCCACTTGCAGATTCCACAAAAAGAGTGTTTCAAAACTGCTCTCTCAAAGGAAAGGTTCAACTCTGTTAGCTGAGTAGATACATCATGAAAAAGTTTCTGACATTGCTTCTATGTAGCTTTTATTGGAAGATATTACCTTTTTCACCATAGTCCTGAGAGCGCTCCAAATGTCCACTTCCAGATACTACAAAAAGAGTGTTTCAAACCTGTTCTATGAAAGGAACTGTTCAACACTGTGACTTCAATTGAAACATCCCAATGAAGCTTCTGAGAATGCTTCTGTCTAGAGTTTATATGAAGACAATCCCGTTTCCAACGAAATCCTCAAAGCTATCCAAATATCCTCTTGCAGATATTACAAAAAGAGTGTTTCAAAACTGCTCTATCAAAAGAAAGGTTCAACACTGTTAGTTGAGGGCGCACATCACAAATAAGTTTCTGAGAATGCTTTTGTCTAGTTTTCAGGGGAAGATATTTCCTTTTTCACCTTAGGCCTGAAAGCGCTGCAAATGTCCACATCCAGATACTACAAAAAGAGTGTTTCAAACCTGCTCTATGAAAGGGAATGTTCAACTCTGTGACTTGAATGCAAACATCACAAAGAAGTTTCTGGGAATGCTGCTGTCTGCTTTTTATATGTAATCCCGTTTCCAACGAAATCCTCAAAGCTATCCAAATATCCTCTTGCAGATTTTACAAAAAGAGTGTTTCAAAACTGCTCTCTCAAAAGAAAGGTTCAACTCTGTTAGCTGAGTAGATACATCATGAAAAAGTTTCTGACATTGCTTCTATCTAGCTTTTATTGGAAGATATTTCCTTTTTCACCGTAGTCCTGAGAGCGCTCCAAATGTCCACTTCCAGATACTACAAAAAGAGTGTTTCAAACCTGCTCTATGAAAGGGACTGTTCAACACTGTGACTTCAATTGAAACATCCCAATGAAGCTTCTGAGAATGCTTCTTTCTAGAGTTTATATGAAGACAATCCCGTTTCCAACGAAATCCTCAAAGCTATCCAAATATTCTCTTGCAGATATTACAAAAAGAGTGTTTCAAAACTGCTCTATCAAAATAAAGCTTCAACACTGTTAGTTGAGGGCGCACATCACAAATAAGTTTCTGAGAATGCTGCTGTCTGCTTTTTATATGTAATCCCGTTTCCAACGAAATCCTCAAAGCTAGACAAATATCCACTTGCAGATTCCACAAAAAGAGTGTTTCAAAACTGCTCTATCAAAAGAATGCTTCAACACTGTTAGTTGAGGGCGCACATCACAAATAAGTTTCTGAGAATGCTTCTGTCTAGTTTTCAGGGGAAGATATTTCCTTTTTCACCATAGGCCTGAAAACGCTCCAAATGTCCACATCCAGATACTAAAAAAAGAGTGTTTCAAACCTGCTCTATGAAAGGGACTGTTCAACACTGTGACTTCAATTGAAACATCCCAATGAAGCTTCTGAGAATGCTTCTCTCTAGAGTTTATATGAAGACAATCCCGTTTCCAACGAAATCCTCAAAGCTATCCAAATATCCTCTTGCAGATTTTACAAAAAGAGTGTTTCAAAACTGCTCTATCAAAAGAAAGGTTCAACACTGTTAGTTGAGGGCGCACATCACAAATAAGTTTCTGAGAATGCTTCTGTCTAGTTTTCAGGGGAAGATATTTCCTTTTTCACCATAGGCCTGAAAGCGCTCCAAATGTCCACATCCAGATACTACAAAAAGAGTGTTTCAAACCTGCTCTATGAAAGGGAATGTTCAAGTCTGTGACTTGAATGCAAATATCACAAAGAAGTTTCTGGGAATGCTGCTGTCTCCTTTTTCTATGTAATCCCGTTTCCAACGAAATCCTCAAAGCTAGACCAATATCCACTTGCAGATTCCACAAAAAGAGTGTTTCAAAACGGCTCTCTCAAAAGAAAGGTTCAACTCTGTTAGCTGAGTAGATACATCATGAAAAATTCTCTGACATTGCTTCTATGTAGCTTTTATTGGAAGATATTTCCTTTTTCACCGTAGTCCTGAGAGCGCTCCAAATGTCCACTTCCAGATACTACAAAAAGAGTGTTTCAAACCTGCTCTATGAAAGGGACTGTTCAACACTGTGACTTCAATTGAAACATCCCAATGAAGCTTCTGAGAATGCTTCTGTGTAGTTTTCAGGGGAAGATATATCCTTTTTCACCATAGGCCTGAAAGCGCTCCAAATGTCCACATCCAGATACTACAAAAAGAGTGTTTCAAACCTGCTCTATGAAAGGGAATGTTCAACTCTGTGACTTGAATGCAAACATCACAAAGAAGATTCTGGGAATGCTGCTGTCTGCTTTTTATATGTAATCCCGTTTCGAACGAAATCCTCAAAGCTAGACAAATATCCACTTGCAGATTCCACAAAAAGAGTGTTTCAAAACTGCTCTCTCAAAAGAAAGGTTCAACTCTCTTAGTTGAGTACTCACATCACAAATAAGTTTCTGAGAATGCTTCTGTCTAGTTTTCAGGGGAAGATATTTCCTTTTAAACCATAGGCCTGAAAGCGCTCCAAATGTCCACATCCAGATACTACAAAAAGAGTGTTTCAAACCTGCTCTATGAAAGGGACTGTTCAACACTGTGACTTCAATTGAAACATCCCAATGAAGCTTCTGAGAATGCTTCTGTCTAGAGTTTATATGAAGACAATCCCGTTTCCAACGTAATCCTCAAAGCTAATCAAATATCCTCTTGCAGATTTTACAAAAAGTGTGTTTCAAAACTGCTCTATCAAAAGAGAGCTTCAACACTGTTAGTTGAGGGCGCACATCACAAATAAGATTCTGAGAATGCTTCTGTCTAGTTTTCAGGGGAACATATTCCCTTTTTCACCATAGGCCTGAAAGCGCTCCAAATGTCCACATCCAGATACTACAAAAAGAGTGTTTCAAACCTGCTCTAAGAAAGGGAATGTTCAACTGCTGTGACCTGAATGCAAACATCACAAAGAAATTTCTGGGAATGCTGCTGTCTGCTTTTTATATATAATCCCGTTTCCAACGAAATCCTCAAAGCTAGACAAATATCCACTTGCAGATTCCACAAAAAGAGTGTTTCAAAACTCCTCTCTCAAAAGAAAGCTTCAACTCTGTTAGCTGAGTAGATACATCATGAAAAAGTTTCTGACATTGCTTCTATCTAGCTTTTATTGGAAGATATTTCCTTTTTCACCGTATTCCTGAGAGCGCTCCAAATGTCCACTTCCAGATATTACAAAAAGAGTGTTTCAAACCTGCTCTATGAAAGGGACTGTTCAACACTGTGACTTCAATTGAAACATCCCAATGAAGCTTCTGAGAATGCTTCTGTCTAGATTTTATATGAAGACAATCCCGTTTCCAACGAAATCCTCAAAGCTATCCAAATATCCTCTTGCAGATTTTACAAAAAGAGTGTTTCAAAACTGCTCTATCAAAAGAAAGCTTCAACACTGTTAGTTGAGGGCGCACATCACAAATAAGATTCTGAGAATGCTTTTGTCTAGTTTTCAGGGGAAGATATTTCCTTTTTCACCTTAGGCCTGAAAGCGCTGCAAATGTCCACATCCAGATACTACAAAAAGAGTGTTTCAAACCTGCTCTATGAAAGGGAATGTTCAACTCTGTGACTTGAATGCAAACATCACAAAGAAGTTTCTGGGAATGCTGCTGTCTGCTTTTTATATGTAATCCCGTTTCCAACGAAATCCTCAAAGGTAGACAAATATCCACTTGCAGATTCCACAAAACGAGTGTTTCAAAACTGCTCTCTCAAAAGAAAGGTTCAACTCTGTTAGCTGAGTAGATACATCATGAAAAAGTTTCTGACATTGCTTCTATCTAGCTTTTATTGGAAGATATTTCCTTTTTCACCGCAGTCCTGAGAGCGTTCCAAATGTCCACTTCCAGATACTACAAAAAGAGTGTTTCAAACCTGCTCTATGAAAGCGACTGTTCAACACTGTGACTTCAATTGAAACATCCCAATGAAGCTTCTGAGAATGCTTCTGTCTAGAGTTTATATGAAGACAATCCCGTTTCCAACGAAATCCTCAAAGCTATCCAAATATCCTCTTGCAGATTTTACAAAAAGAGTGTTTCAAAACTGCTCTCTCAAAAGAAAGGTTCAACTCTGTTAGCTGAGTAGATACATCATGAAAAAGTTTCTGACATTGCTTTTATGTAGCTTTTATTGGAAGATATTTCCTTTTTCACCATAGGCCTGAAAGCGCTCCAAATGTCCACATCCAGATACTACAAAAAAAGTGTTTCAAACCTGCTCTATGAAAGGGAATGTTCAACTCTGTGACTTGAATGCAAACATCACAAAGAAGTTACTGGGAATGCTGCTGTCTGCTTTTTATATGTAATCCCGTTTCCAACGAAATCCTCAAAGCTAGACAAGTATCCACTTGCAGATTCCACAAAACGAGTGTTTCAAAACTGCTCTCTCAAATGAAGTTTCAACTCTGTTAGCTGAGTAGATACATCATGAAAAAGTTTCTGACATTGCTTCTATCTAGCTTTTATTGGAAGATATTTCCTTTTTCACCGCAGTCCTGAGAGCGTTCCAAATGTCCACTTCAAGATACTACAAAAAGAGTGTTTCAAACCTGCTCTATGAAAGGGATTGTTCAACACTGTGACTTTAATTGAAACATCCCAATGAAGCTTCTGAGAATGCTACTGTCTAGAGTTTATATGAAGACAATCCCGTTTCCAACGAAATCCTCAAAGCTATCAAAATATCCTCTTGCAGATTTTACGAAAAGAGGGTTTCAAAACTGCTCTATCAAAAGAAAGCTTCAACACTGTTAGTTGAGGGCGCACATCACAAATAAGATTCTGAGAATGCTTCTGTCTAGTTTTCAGGGGAAGATATTTCCTTTTTCACCATAGGCCTGAAAGCGCTCCAAATGTCCACATCCAGATACTACAAAAAGAGTGTTTCAAACCTGCTCTATGAAAGGGAATGTTCAACTCTGTGACTTGAATGCAAACATCACAAAGAAGTTTCTGGGAATGCTGCTGTCTGCTTTTTATATGTAATCCCGTTTCCAACGAAATCCTCAAAGCTAGAAAAATATCCACTTGCAGATTCCACAAAAAGAGTGTTTCAAAACTGCTCTCTCAAAAGAAAGGTTCAACTCTGTTAGCTGAGTAGATACATCATGAAAAAGTTTCTGACATTGCTTCTATCTAGCTTTTATTGGAAGATATTTCCTTTTTCACCGCAGTCCTGAGAGCGCTCCAAATGTCCACTTCCAGATACTACAAAAAGAGTGTTTCAAACCTGCTCTATGAAAGGGACTGTTCAACACTGTGACTTCAATTGAAACATCCCAATGAAGCTTCTGAGAATGCTGCTGTCTGCTTTGTATAATTAATCCCGTTTCCAACGAAATCCTCAAAGCTATCCAAATATCCTCTTGCAGATATTACAAAAAGAGTGTTTCAAAACTGCTCTATCAAAAGAAAGCTTCAACACTGTTAGTTGAGGGCGCACATCACAAATAAGTTTCTGAGAATGCTGCTGTCTGCTTTTTATATGTAATCCCGTTTCCAACGAAATCCTCAAAGCTAGACAAATATCCACTTGCAGATTCCACAAAAAGAGTGTTTCAAAACTGCTCTATCAAAAGAAAGCTTCAACACTGTTAGTTGAGGGGGCACATCACAAATAAGTTTCTGAGAATGCTTCTATCTAGCTTTTATTGGAAGATATTTCCTTTTTCACCGTAGTCCTGAGAGCGCTCCAAATGTCCACTTCCAGTATACTACAAAAAGAGTGTTTCAAACCTGCTCTATGAAAGGTACTGTTCAACACTGTGACTTCAGTTGAAACATCCCAATGAAGCTTCTGAGAATGCTACTGTCTAGAGTTTATATGAAGACAATCCCGTTTCCAACGAAATCCTCAAAGCTATCCAAATATCCTCTTGCAGATTTTACAAAAAGAGTGTTTCAAAACTACTCTATCAAAAGAAAGGTTTAACACTGTTAGTTGAGGGCGCACATCACAAATAAGTTTCTGAGAATGCTTCTGTCTAGTTTTCAGGGGAAGATATTTCCTTTTTCACCTTAGGCCTGAAAGCGCTGCAAATGTCCACATCCAGATACTATAAAAAGAGTGTTTCAAACCTGCTCTATGAAAGGGAATGTTCAACTCTGTGACTTGAATGCAAACAACACAAAGAAGTTTCTGGGAATGCTGCTGTCTGCTTTATATATGTAACCCGTTTCCAACGAAATCCTCAAAGCTAGACAAATATCCACTTGCAGATTCCACAAAAAGAGTGTTTCAAAACTGATCTCTCAAAGGAAGGTTCAACTCTGTTAGCTGAGTAGATACATCATGAAAAAGTTTCTGACATTGCTTCTATCTAGCTTTTATTGGAAGATATTTCCTTTTTCACCATAGTCCTGAGAACGCTCCAAATGTCCACTTCCAGATATTACAAAAAGAGTGTTTCAAACCTGCTCTACGAAAGGGACTGTTCAACACTGTGACTTCAATTGAAACATCCCAATGAAGCTTCTGAGAATGCTGCTGTCTGCTTTGTATAATTAATCCCGTTTCCAACGAAATCCTCAAAGCTATCCAAATATCCTCTTGCAGATATTACAAAAAGAGTGTTTCAAAACTGCTCTATCAAAAGAAAGCTTCAACACTGTTAGTTGAGGGCGCACATCACAAATAAGTTTCTGAGAATGCTGCTGTCTGCTTTTTATATGTAATCCCGTTTCCAACGAAATCCTCAAAGCTATCCAATTATCCTCTTGCAGATATTACAAAAAGAGTGTTTCAAAACTGCTCTATCAAAAGAAAGGTTCAACACTGTTAGTTGAGGGCGCACATCACAAATAAGTTTCTGAGAATGCTTCTGTCTAGTTTTCAGGGGAAGATATTTCCTTTTTCACCATAGGCCTGAAAGCGCTCGAAATGTCCACATCCAGATACTACAAAAAGAGTGTTTCAAACCTGCTCTATGAAAGGGACTGTTCAACACTGTGACTTCAATTGAAACATCCCAATGAAGCTTCTGAGAATGCTTCTGTCTAGAGTTTATATGAAGACAATCCCGTTTCCAACGAAATCCTCAAAGCTATCCAAATATCCTCTTACAGATATTACAAAAAGAGTGTTTCAAAACTGCTCTATCAAAAGAAAGCTTCAACACTGTTAGTTGAGGGCGCACATCACAAATAAGTTTCTGAGAATGCTTCTGTCTAGTTTTCAGGGGAAGATATTTCCTTTTTCACCATAGGCCTGAAAGCGCTCCAAATGTCCACATCCAGATACTACAAAAAGAGTGTTTCAAACCTGCTCTATGAAAGGGAATGTTCAACTCTGTGACTTGAATGCAAACATCACAAAGAAGTTACTGGGAATGCTGCTATCTGCTTTTTATATGTAATCCCGTTTCCAACGAAATCCTCAAAGCTAGACAAATATCCACTTGCAGATTCCACAAAAAGAGTGTTTCAAAACTGCTCTCTCAAAAGAAAGGTTCAACTCTGTTAGCTGAGTAGATACATCATGAAAAATTTTCTGACATTGCTTCTATGTAGCTTTTATTGGAAGATATTTCCTTTTTCACCATAGTCCTGAGAGCGCTCCAAATGTCCACTTCCAGATACTACAAAAAGAGTGTTTCAAACCTGTTCTATGAAAGGAACTGTTCAACACTGTGACTTCAATTGAAACATCCCAATGAAGCTTCTGAGAATGCTTCTTTCTAGAGTTTATATGAAGACAATCCCGTTTCCAACGAAATCCTCAAAGCTATCCAAATATTCTCTTGCAGATATTACAAAAAGAGTGTTTCAAAACTGCTCTATCAAAATAAAGCTTCAACACTGTTAGTTGAGGGCGCACATCACAAATAAGTTTCTGAGAATGCTGCTGTCTGCTTTTTATAATTAATCCCGTTTCCAACGAAATCCTCAAAGCTAGACAAATATCCACTTGCAGATTCCACAAAAAGAGTGTTTCAAAACTGCTCTATCAAAAGAATGCTTCAACACTGTTAGTTGAGGGCGCACATCACAAATAAGTTTCTGAGAATGCTTCTGTCTAGTTTTCAGGGGAAGATATTTCCTTTTTCACCATAGGCCTGAAAGCGCTCGAAATGTCCACATCCAGATACTACAAAAAGAGTGTTTCAAACCTGCTCTATGAAAGGGACTGTTCAACACTGTGACTTCAATTGAAACATCCCAATGAAGCTTCTGAGAATGCTTCTGTCTAGAGTTTATATGAAGACAATCCCGTTTCCAACGAAATCCTCAAAGCTATCCAAATATCCTCTTGCAGATTTTACAAAAAGAGTGTTTCAAAACTGCTCTATCAAAAGAAAGCTTCAACACTGTTAGTTGAGGGCGCACATCACCAATAAGATTCTGAGAATGCTTCTGTCTAGTTTTCAGGGGAAGATATTTCCTTTTTCACCATAGGCCTGAAAGCGCTCCAAATGTCCACATCGAGATACTACAAAAAGAGTGTTTCAAACCTGCTCTCTGAAAGGGAATGTTCAACTCTGTGACTTGAATGCAAACATCACAAAGAAGTTTCTGGGAATGCTGCTGTCTGCTTTTTATATGTAATCCCGTTTCCAACGAAATCCTCAAAGCTAGACAAATATCCACTTGCAGATTCCACAAAAAGAGTGTTTCAAAACTGCTCTCTCAAAAGAAAGGTTCAACTCTGTTAGCTGAGTAGATACATCATGAAAAAGTTTCTGACATTGCTTCTATCTAGCTTTTATTGGAAGATATTTCCTTTTTCACGGCAGTCCTGAGAGCGTTCCAAATGTCCACTTCCAGATACTACAAAAAGAGTGTTTCAAACCTGCTCTATGAAAGGGACTGTTCAACACTGTGACTTCAATTGAAACATCCCAATGAAGCTTCTGAGAATGCTTCTGTCTAGAGTTTATATGAAGACAAACCCGTTTCCAACGAAATCCTCAAAGCTATCCAAATATCCTCTTGGAGATATTACAAAAAGAGTGTTTCAAAACTGCTCTATCAAAAGAAAGCTTCAACACTGTTAGTTGAGGGCGCACATCACAAATAAGTTTCTGAGAATGCTGCTGTCTGCTTTTTATATGTAATCCCGTTTCCAACGAAATCCTCAAATCTAGACAAATATCCACTTCCAGATTCCACAAAAAGAGTGTTTCAAAACTGCTCTATCAAAAGAAAGCTTCAACACTGTTAGTTGAGGGCGCACATCACTAATAAGTTTCTGAGAATGCTTCTGTCTAGTTTTCAAGGGAAGATATTTCCTTTTAAACCATAGGCCTGAAAGCGCTCCAAATGTCCACATCCAGATACTACAAAAAGAGTGTTTCAAACCTGCTCTATGAAAGGGACTGTTCAACACTGTGACTTCAATTGAAACATCCCAATGACGCTTCTGAGAATGCTTCTGTCTAGAGTTTATATGAAGACAATCCCGTTTCCAATGAAATCCTCAAAGCTATCCAAATATCCTCTTGCAGAATTTACAAAAAGAGTGTTTCAAAACTGCTCTATCAAAAGAAAGCTTCAACACTGTTAGTTGAGGGCGCACATCACAAATAAGATTCTGAGAATGCTTCTGTCTAGTTTTCAGGGGAAGATATTTCCTTTTTCACCATAGGCCTGAAAGCGCTCCAAATGTCCACATCCAGATACTACAAAAAGAGTGTTTCAAACCTGCTCTATGAAAGGGAATGTTCAACTCTGTGACTTGAATGCAAACATCACAAAGAAGTTACTGGGAATGCTGCTGTCTGCTTTTTATATGTAATCCCGTTTCCAACGAAATCCTCAAAGCTAGACAAATATCCACTTCCAGATTCAACAAAAAGAGTGTTTCAAAACTGCTCTCTCAAAGGAAAGGTTCAACTCTGTTAGCTGAGTAGATACATCATGAAAAAGTTTCTGACATTGCTTCTATGTAGCTTTTATTGGAAGATATTTCCTTTTTCACCATAGTCCTGAGAGCGCTCCAAATGTCCACTTCCAGATACTACAAAAAGAGTGTTTCAAACCTGTTCTATGAAAGGAACTGTTCAACACTGTGACTTCAATTGAAACATCCCAATGAAGCTTCTGAGAATGCTGCTGTCTGCTTTGTATAATTAATCCCGTTTCCAACGAAATCCTCAAAGCTATCCAAATATCCTCTTGCAGATATTACAAAAAGAGTGTTTCAAAACTGCTCTATCAAAAGAAAGCTTCAACACTGTTAGTTGAGGGCGCACATCACAAATAAGTTTCTGAGAATGCTGCTGTCTGCTTTTTATATGTAATCCCGTTTCCAACGAAATCCTCAAAGCTAGACAAATATCCACTTGCAGATTCCACAAAAAGAGTGTTTCAAAACTGCTCTATCAAAAGAAAGCTTCAACACTGTTAGTTGAGGGCGCACATCACAAATAAGTTTCTGAGAATGCTTCTATCTAGCTTTTATTGGAAGATATTTCCTTTTTCACCGCAGTCCTGAGAGTGCTCCAAATGTCCACTTCCAGATACTACAAAAAGAGTGTTTCAAACCTGTTCTATGAAAGGAACTGTTCAACACTGTGACTTCAGTTGAAACATCCCAATGAAGCTTCTGAGAATGCTTCTGTCTAGAGTTTATATGAAGACAATCCCGTTTCCAACGAAATCCTCAAAGCTATCCAAATATCCTCTTGCAGATATTACAAAAAGAGTGTTTCAAAACTGCTCTATCAAAAGAAAGCTTCAACACTGTTAGTTGAGGGCGCACATCACAAATAAGTTTCTGAGAATGCTTCTGTCTAGTTTTCAGGGGAAGATATTTCCTTTTTCACCTTAGGCCTGAAAGCGCTCCAAATGTCCACATCCAGATACTACAAAAAGAGTGTTTCAAACCTGCTCTATGAAAGGGAATGTTCCACTGCTGTGACTTGAATGCAAACATCACAAAGAAGTTTCCTGGGAATGCTGCTGTCTGCTTTTTATACGTAATCCCGTTTCCAACGAAATCATCAAAGCTAGACAAATATCCACTTGCAGATTCCACAAAAAGAGTGTTTCAAAACTGCTCTGTCAAAAGAAAGGTTCAACTCTGTTAGCTGAGTAGATACATCATGAAAAAGTTTCTGACATTGCTTCTATCTAGCTTTTATTGGAAGATATTTCCTTTTTCACCGTAGTCCTGAGAACGCTCCAAATGTCCACTTCCAGATACTACAAAAAGAGTGTTTCAAACCTGCTCTATGAAAGGGACTGTTCAACACTGTGACTTCAATTGAAACATCCCAATGAAGCTTCTGAGAATGCTTCTGTCTAGATTTTATATGAAGACAATCCCGTTTCCAACGAAATCCTCAAAGCTATCCAAATATCCCATTGCAGATTTTACAAAAAGACTGTTTCAAAACTGCTCTATCAAAAGAAAGGTTCAACACTGTTAGTTGAGGGCGCACATCACAAATAAGATTCTGAGAATGCTTCTGTCTAGTTTTCAGGGGAAGATATTTCCTTTTTCACCTTAGGCCTGAAAGCGCTGCAAATGTCCACATCCAGATACTACAAAAAGAGTGTTTCAAACCTGCTCTATGAAAGGGAATGTTCAACTCTGTGACTTGAATGCAAACATCACAAAGAAGTTTCTGGGAATGCTGCTGTCTGCTTTTTATATGTAATCCCGTTTCCAACGAAATCCTCAAAGCAAGACAAATATCCACTTGCAGATTCCACAAAAAGAGTGTTTCAAAACTGCTCTCTCAAAAGAAAGGTTCAACTCTGTTAGCTGAGTAGATACATCATGAAAAAGTTTCTGATATTGCTTCTATCTAGCTTTTACTGGAAGATATTTCCTTTTCCACTGTAGTCCTGAGAACGCTCCAAATGTCCACCTCCAGATACTACAAAAAGAGTGTTTCAAACCTGCTCTATGAAAGGGACTGTTCAACACTGTGACTTCAATTGAAACATCCCAATGAAGCTTCTGAGAATGCTGCTGTCTGCTTTGTATAATTAATCCCGTTTCCAACGAAATCCTCAAAGCTATCCAAATATCCTCTTGCAGATATTACAAAAAGAGTGTTTCAAAACTGCTCTATCAAAAGAAAGCTTCAACACTGTTAGTTGAGGGCGCACATCACAAATAAGTTTCTGAGAATGCTGCTATCTGCTTTTTATAATTAATCCCGTTTCCAACGAAATCCTCAAAGCTATCCAAATATCCTCTTGCAGATATTACAAAAAGAGTGTTTCAAAACTGCTCTATCAAAAGAAAGGTTCAACACTGTTAGTTGAGGGCGCACATCACAAATAAGTTTCTGAGAATGCTTCTGTCTAGTTTTCAGGGGAAGATATTTCCTTTTTCACCATAGGCCTGAAAGCGCTCCAAGTGTCCACATCCAGATACTACAAAAAGAGTGTTTCAAACCTGCTCTATGAAAGGGAATGTTCAACTCTGTGACGTGAATGCAAACATCACAAAGAAGTTTCTGGGAATGCTTCTGTCTAGAGTTTATATGAAGACAATCCCGTTTCCAACGAAATCCTCAAAGCTATCCAAATATCCTCTTGCAGATTTTACAAAAAGAGTGTTTCAAAACTGCTCTATCAAAAGAAAGCTTCAACACTGTTAGTTGAGGGCGCACATCACAAATAAGATTCTGAGAATGCTTCTGTCTAGTTTTCAGGGGAAGATATTTCCTTTTTCACCATAGGCCTGAAAGCGCTCCAAATGTCCACATCCAGATACTACAAAAAGAGTGTTTCAAGCCTGCTCTATGAAAGGGAATGTTCAACTCTGTGACTTGAATGCAAACACCACAAAGAAGTTACTGGGAATGCTGCTGTCTGCTTTTTATATGTAATCCCGTTTCCAACGAAATCCTCAAATCTAGACAAATATCCACTTGCAGATTCCACAAAAAGAGTGTTTCAAAACTGCTCTGTCAAAAGAAAGGTTCAACTCTGTTAGCTGAATAGATACATCATGAAAAATTTTCTGACATTGCTTCTATGTAGCTTTTATTGGAAGATATTTCCTTTTTCACCGCAGTCCTGAGAGCGCTCCAAATGTCCACTTCCAGATACTACAAAAAGAGTGTTTCAAACCTGCTCTATGAAAGGGACTGTTCAACACTGTGACTTCAATTGAAACATCCCAATGAAGCTTCTGAGAACGCTTATGTCTAGAGTTTATATGAAGACAATCCCGTTTCCAACGAAATCCTGAAAGCTATCCAAATATCCTCTTGCAGATATTACAAAAAGAGTGTTTCAAAACTGCTCTATCAAAAGAAAGCTTCAACACTGTTAGTTGAGGGCGCCCATCACAAATAAGTTTCGGAGAATGCTTAGCTGTCTGCTTTTTATATGTAATCCCGTTTCCAACGAAATCCTCAAAGCTAGACAAATATCCACTTGCAGATTCCACAAAAAGAGTGTTTCAAAACTGCTCTATCAAAAGAATGCTTCAACACTGTTAGTTGAGGGCGCACATCACAAATAAGTTTCTGAGAATGCTTCTGTCTAGTTTTCAGGGGAAGATATTTCCTTTTTCACCATAGGCCTGAAAGCGCTCCAAATGTCCACATCCAGATACTACAAAAAGAGTGTTTCAAACCTGCTCTATGAAAGGGACTGTTCAACACTGTGACTTCAATTGAAACATCCCAATGAAGCTTCTGAGAATGCTTCTGTCTAGATTCTATATGAAGACAATCCCGTTTCCAACGAAATCCTCAAAGCTATCCAAATATCCTCTTGCGGATTTTACAAAAAGAGTGTATCAAAACTGCTCTATCAAAAGAAAGGTTCAACACTGTTAGTTGAGGGCGCACATGACAAATAAGTTTCTGAGAATGCTTCTGTCTAGTTTTCAGAGGAAGATATTTCCTTTTTCACCATAGGCCTGAAAGCGCTCCAAATGTCCACATCCAGATACTACAAAAAGAGTGTTTCAAACCTGCTCTATGAAACGGAATGTTCAAGTCTGTGACTTGAATGCAAATATCACAAAGAAGTTTCTGGGAATGCTGCTGTCTGCTTTTTATATGTAATACCATTTACAACGCAATCCTCAAAACTAGACAAATATCCACTTGCAGATTCCACAAAAAGAGTGTTTCAAAACTACTCTCTCCAAAGAAAGGTTCAACTCTGTTAGCTGAGTAGATACATCATGAAAAATTTTCTGACATTTCTTCTATGTAGCTTTTATTGGAAGATATTTCCTTTTTCACCGTAGTCCTGAGAGCGCTCCAAATGTCCACTTCCAGATACTACAAAAAGAGTGTTTCAAACCTGCTCTATGAAAGGGACTGTTCAACACTGTGACTTCAATTGAAACATCCCAATGAAGCTTCTGAGAATGCTGCTGTCTGCTTTGTATAATTAATCCCGTTTCCAACGAAATCCTCAAAGCTATCCAAATATCCTCTTGCAGATATTACAAAAAGAGTGTTTCAAAACTGCTCTATCAAAAGAAAGCTTCAACACTGTTAGTTGAGGGCGCACATCACAAATAAGTTTCTGAGAATGCTGCTGTCTGCTTTTTATATGTAATCCCGTTTCCAACGAAATCCTCAAAGCTAGACAAATATCCACTTGCAGATTCCACAAAAAGAGTGTTTCAAAACTGCTCTATCAAAAGAATGCTTCAACACTGTTAGTTGAGGGAGCACATCACAAATAAGTTTCTGAGAATGCTTCTGTCTAGTTTTCAGGGGAAGATATTTCCTTTTAAACCACAGGCCTGAAAGCGCTCCAAATGTCCACATCCAGATACTACAAAAAGAGTGTTTCAAACCTGCTCTATGAAAGGGACTGTTCAACACTGTAACTTCAATTGAAACATCTAATGAAGCTTCTGAGAATGCTTCTGCCTAGAGTTTATATGAAGACAATCCCGTTTCCAACGAAATCCTCAAAGCTATCCAAATATCCTCTTGCAGATATTACAAAAAGAGTGTTTCAAAACTGCTCTATCAAAAGAAAGCTTCAACACTGTTAGTTGAGGGCGCACATCACAAATAAGTTTCTGAGAATGCTTCTGTCTAGTTTTCAGGAGAAGATATTTCCTTTTTCACCATAGGCCTGAAAGCGCTCCAAATGTCCACATCCAGATACTATAAAAAGAGTGTTTCAAACCTGCTCTCTGAAAGGGAATGTTCAACTCTGTGACTTGAATGCAAACATCACAAACAAGATTCTGGGAATGCTGCTGTCTGCTTTTTATATGTAATCCCGTTTCCAACGAAATCCTCAAAGCTAGACAAATATCCACTTGCAGATTCCACAAAAAGAGTGTTTCAAAACTGCTCTCTCAAAAGAAAGGTTCAACTCTGTTAGCTGAGTATATACATCATGAAAAAGTTTCTGACATTGCTTCTGTCTAGCTTTTATTGGAAGATATTTCCTTTTTCACTGTAGTGCTGAGAACGCTCCAAATGTCCACTTCCAGATACTACAAAAAGAGTGTTTCAAATCTGCTCTATGAAAGGGACTGTTCAACACTGTGACTTCAATTGAAACATCCCAATGAAGCTTCTGAGAATGATGCTGTCTGCTTTGTATAATTAATCCCGTTTCCAACGAAATCCTCAAAGCTATCCAAATATCCTCTTGCAGATATTACAAAAAGAGTGTTTCAAAACTGCTCTATCAAAAGAAAGCTTCAACACTGTTAGTTGAGGGCGCACATCACAAATAAGTTTCTGAGAATGCTGCTGTCTGCTTTTTATATGTAATCCCGTTTCCAACGAAATCCTCAAAGCTAGACAAATATCCACTTGCAGATTCCACAAAAAGAGTGTTTCAAAACTGCTCTATCAAAAGAATGCTTCAACACTGTTAGTTGAAGGCGCACATCACAAATAAGTTTCTGAGAATGCTTCTATCTAGCTTTTATTGGAAGATATTTCCTTTTTCACCGCAGTCCTGAGAGCGCTCCAAATGTCCACTTCCAGATACTACAAAAAGAGTGTTTCAAACCTGCTCTATGAAAGGGACTGTTTAACACTGTGACTTCAATTGAAACATCCCAATGAAGCTTCTGAGAATGCTTCTGTCTAGAGTTTATATGAAGACAATCCCGTTTCCAACGAAATCCTCAAAGCTATCCAAATATCCTCTTGCAGATTTTACAAAAAGAGTGTTTCAAAACTGCTCTATCAAAAGAAAGCTTCAACACTGTTAGTTGAGGGCGCACATCACAAATAAGATTCTGAGAATGCTTCTGTCTAGTTTTCAGGAGAAGATATTTCCTTTTTCACCATAGGGCTGAAAGCGCTCCAAATGTCCACATCCAGATACTACAAAAAGAGTGTTTCAAACCTGCTCTATGAAAGGGAATGTTCAACTGTGTGACTTGAATGCAAACATCACAAAGAAGTTTCTGGGAATGCTGCTGTCTGCTTTTTATATGTAATCCCGTTTCCAACGAAATCCTCAAAGCTAGACAAATATCCACTTGCAGATTCCACAAAAAGAGTGTTTCAAAACTGCTCTCTCAAAAGAAAGGTTCAACTCTGTTAGCTGAGTAGATACATCATGAAAAAGTTTCTGACATTGCTTCTATCTAGCTTTTATTGGAAGATATTTCCTTTATCACCAGAGTCCTGAGAGCGCTCCAAATGTCCACTTTCCAGATACTACAAAAAGAGTGTTTCAAACCTGCTCTATGAAAGGGACTGTTCAACACTGTGACTTCAATTGAAACATCCCAATGAAGCTTCTGAGAATGCTTCTGTCTAGATTCTATATGAAGACAATCCCGTTTCCAACGAAATCCTCAAAGCTATCCAAATATCCTCTTGCAGATTTTACAAAAAGAGTGTTTCAAAACTGCTCTATCAAAAGAAAAGTTCCACACTGTTAGTTGAGGGCGCACATCACAAATAAGTTTGCTGAGAATGCTGCTGTCTGCTTTTTATATGTAATCCCGTTTCCAACGAAATCCTCAAAGCTAGACAAATATCCACTTGCAGATTCCACAAAAAGAGTGTTTCAAAACTGCTCTATCAAAAGAAAGCTTCAACACTGTTAGTTGAGGGCGCACATCACAAATAAGTTTCTGAGAATGCTTCTGTCTAGTTTTCAGGAGAAGATATTTCCTTTTTCACCATAGGCCTGAAAGCGCTCCAAATGTCCACATCCAGATACTACAAAAACAGTGTTTCAAACCTGCTCTATGAAAGGGACTGTTCAACACTGTGACTTCAATTGAAACATCCCAATGAAGCTTCTGAGAATGCTACTGTCTAGGGTTAATATGAACACAATCCCGTTTCCAACGAAATCCTCAAAGCTATCCAAATATCCTCTTGCAGATTTTACAAAAAGAACGTTTCAAAACTGCTCTATCAAAAGAAAGCTTCAACACTGTTAGTTGAGGGCGCACATCACAAATAAGTTTCTGAGACTACTTCAGTCTAGTTTTCAGGGGAAGATATTTCCTTTTTCACCATAGGCCTGAAAGCGTTCCAAATGTCCACATCCAGATACTACAAAAAGAGTGTTTCAAACCTGCTCTATGAAAGGGAATGTTCAACTCTGTGACTTGAATGCAAACATCGCAAAGAAGTTTGTGGGAATGCTGCTGTCTGCTTTTTATATGTAATCCCGTTTCCAACGAAATCCTCAAAGCTAGACAAATATCCACTTGCAGATTCCACAAAAAGAGTGTTTCAAAACTGCTCTCTCAAAAGAAAGTTCAACTCTGTTAGCTGAGTAGATACATCATGAAAAAGTTTCTGACATTGCTTCTATGTAGCTTTTATTGGAAGATATTTCGTTTTTCACCGTAGTCCTGAGAGCGCTCCAAATGTCCACTTCCAGATACTACAAAAAGAGTGTTTCAAACCTGCTCTATGAAAGGGACTGTTCAACACTGTGACATCAATTGAAACATCCCAATGAAGCTTCTGAGAATGCTGCTGTCTGCTTTGTATAATTAATCCCGTTTCCAACGAAATCCTCAAAGCTATCCAAATATCCTCTTGCAGATATTACAAAAAGAGTGTTTCAAAACTGCTCTATCAAAAGAAAGCTTCAACACTGTTAGTTGAGGGCGCACATCACAAATAAGTTTCTGAGAATGCTGCTGTCTGCTTTTTATATGTAATCCCGTTTCCAACGAAATCCTCAAAGCTAGACAAATATCCACTTGCAGATTCCACAAAAAGAGTGTTTCAAAGCTGCTCTATCAAAAGAAAGCTTCAACACTGTTAGTTGAGGGCGCATATCACAAATAAGTTTCTGAGAATGCTTCTGTCTAGTTTTCAGGGGAAGATATTTCCTTTTTCACCATAGGCCTGAAAGCGCTCCAAATGTCCACATCCAGATACTACAAAAAGAGTGTTTCAAACCTGCTCTATGAAAGGGACTGTTCAACACTGTGACTTCAATTGAAACATCCCAATGAAGCATCTGAGAATGCTTCTGTCTAGAGTTTATATGAAGACAATCCCGTTTCCAAAGAAATCCTCCAAGCTATCCAAATATCCTCTTGCAGATTTTACAAAAAGAGTGTTTCAAAACTGCTCTATCAAAAGAAAGCTTCAATACTGTTAGTTGAGGGCGCACATCACAAATAAGATTCTGAGAATGCTTCTGTCTAGTTCTCAGGGGAAGTATATTTCCTTTTTCACCATAGGCCTGAAAGCGCTCCAAATGTCCACATCCAGATACTACAAAAAGAGTGTTTCAAACCTGCTCTATGAAAGGGAATGTTCAACTCTGTGACTTGAATGCAAACATCACAAAGAAGATTCTGGGAATGCTGCTGTCTGCTTTTTATATGTAAACCCGTTTCCAACGAAATCCTCAAAGCTAGACAAATATCCTCTTGCAGATTCCACAAAAAGAGTGTTTCAAAACTGCTCTCTCAAAAGAAAGGTTCAACTCTGTTAGCTGAGTAGATACATCATGAAAAAGTTTCTGACATTGCTTCTATCTAGCTTTTATTGGAAGATATTTCCTTTATCACCGTATTCCTGAGATCTCTCCAAATGTCCACTTCCAGATACTACAAAAAGAGTGTTTCAAACCTGCTCTATGAAAGGGACTGTTCAACACTGTGACTTCAATTGAAACATCCCAATGAAGCTTCTGAGAATGCTTCTGTCTAGAGTTTATATGAAGACAATCCCGTTTCCAACGAAATCCTCAAAGCTATCCAAATATCCTCTTGCAGATATTACAAAAAGAGTGTTTCAAAACTGCTCTATCAAAAGAAAGGTTCAACACTGTTAGTTGAGGGCGCACATCACAAATAAGTTTCTGAGAATGCTTCTGTCTAGTTTTCAGGGGAAGATATTTCCTTTTTCACCATAGGTCTGAAAGCGCTCCAAATGTCCACATCCAGATACTACAAAAAGAGTGTTTCAAACCTGCTCTATGAAAGGGAATGTTCAACTCTGTGACTTGAATGAAAACATCACAAAGAAGTTACTGGGAATGCTGCTGTCTGCTTTTTATATGTAATCCCGTTTCCAACGAAATCCTCAAAGCTGGACAAATATCCACTTGCAGATTCCACAAAAAGAGTGTTTCAAAACTGCTCTCTCAAAGGAAAGGTTCAACTCTGTTAGCTGAGTAGATACATCATGAAAAAGTTTCTGACATTGCTTCTATGTAGCTTTTATTGGAAGATATTTCCTTTTTCACCATAGTCCTGAGAGCGCTCCAAATGTCCACTTCCAGATACTACAAAAAGAGTGTTTCAAACCTGTTCTATGAAAGGAACTGTTCAACACTGTGACTTCAATTGAAACATCCCAATGAAGCTTCTGAGAATGCTTCTGTCTAGAGTTTATATGAAGACAATCCCGTTTCCAACGAAATCCTCAAAGCTATCCAAATATCCTCTTGCAGATATTACAAAAAGAGTGTTTCAAAACTGCTCTATCAAAAGAAAGCTTCAACACTGTTAGTTGAGGGCGCACATCACAAATAAGTTTCTGAGAAAGCGGCTGTCTGCTTTTTATATGTAATCCCGTTTCCAACGAAATCCTCAAAGCTAGACAAATATCCACTTGCAGATTCCACAAAAAGAGTGTTTCAAAACTGCTCTGTCAAAAGAAAGCTTCAACACTGTTGGTTGAGGGCGCACATCACAAATAAGTTTCTGAGAATGCTTCTGTCTAGTTTTCAGGGGAAGATATTTCCTTTTAAACCATAGGCCTGAAAGCGCTCCAAATGTCCACATCCAGATACTACAAAAAGAGTGTTTCAAACCTGCTCTATGAAAGGGACTGTTCAACACTGTGACTTCAATTGAAACATCCCAATGACGCTTCTGAGAATGCTTCTGTCTAGAGTTTATATGAAGACAATCCCGTTTCCAACGAAATCCTCAAAGCTATCCAAATATCCTCTTGCAGATTTTACAAAAAGAGTGTTTCAAAACTGCTCTATCAAAAGAAAGCTTCAACTCTGTTAGTTGAGGGCGCACATCACAAATAAGATTCTGAGAATGCTTCTGTCTAGTTTTCAGGGGAAGATATTTCCTTTTTCACCATAGGCCTGAAAGCGCTCCAAATGTCCACATCCAGATACTACAAAAAGAGTGTTTCAAACCTGCTCTATGAAAGGGAATGTTCAACTCTGTGACTTGAATACAAACATCACAAAGAAGTTTCTGGGAATGCTGCTGTCTGCTTTTTATATGTAATCCCGTTTCCAACGAAATCCTCAAAGCTAGAAAAATATCCACTTGCAGATTCCACAAAAAGAGTGTTTCAAAACTGCTCTCTCAAAAGAAAGGTTCAACTCTGTTAGCTGAGTAGATACATCATGAAAAAGTTTCTGACATTGCTTCTATGTAGCTTTTATTGGAAGATATTTCCTTTTTCACCATAGTCCTGAGAGCGCTCCAAATGTCCACTTCCAGATACTACAAAAAGAGTGTTTCAAACCTGTTCTATGAAAGGGAACTGTTCAACACTGTGATTTCAATTGAAACATCCCAATGAAGCTTCTGAGAATGCTTCTTTCTAGAGTTTATATGAAGACAATCCCGTTTCCAACGAAATCCTCAAAGCTATCCAAATATTCTCTTGCAGATATTACAAAAAGAGTGTTTCAAAACTGCTCTATCAAAATAAAGCTTCAACACTGTTAGTTGAGGGCGCACATCACAAATAAGTTTCTGAGAATGCTGCTGTCTGCTTTTTATATGTAATCCCGTTTCCAACGAAATCCTCAAAGCTAGACAAATATCCACTTGCAGATTCCACAAAAAGAGTGTTTCAAAACTGCTCTATCAAAAGAAAGCTTCAACACTGTTAGTTGAGGGCGCACATCACAAATAAGTTTCTGAGAATGCTTCTGTCTAGTTTTCAGGGGAAGATATTTCCTTTTTCACCTTAGGCCTGAAAGCGCTGTAAATGTCCACATCCAGATACTACAAAAAGAGTGTTTCAAACCTGCTCTATGAAAGGGAATGTTCAACTCTGTGACTTGAATGCAAACATCACAAAGAAGTTTCTGGGAATGCTGCTGTCTGCTTTTTATATGTAATCCTGTTTCCAACGAAATCCTCAAATCTAGACAAATAGCCACTTGCAGATTCCACAAAAAGAGTGTTTCAAAACTGCTCTCTCAAAAGAAAGGTTCAACTCTGTTAGCTGAGTAGATACATCATGAAAAAGTTTCTGACATTGCTTCTATCTAGCTTTTATTGGAAGATATTTCCTTTTTCACCGTAGTCCTGAGAACGCTCCAAATGTCCACTTCCAGATGCTACAAAAAGAGTGTTTCAAACCTGCTCTATGAAAGGGACTGTTCAACACTGTGACTTCAATTGAAACATCCCAATGAAGCTTCTGAGAATGCTTCTGTCTAGATTCTATATGAAGACAATCCCGTTTCCAACGAAATCCTCAAAGCTATCCAAATATCCTCTTGCAGATTTTACAAAAAGAGTGTTTCAAAACTGCTCTATCAAAAGAAAAGTTCCACACTGTTAGTTGAGGGCGCACATCACAAATAAGTTTGCTGAGAATGCTGCTGTCTGCTTTTTATATGTAATCCCGTTTCCAACGAAATCCTCAAAGCTAGACAAATATCCACTTGCAGATTCCACAAAAAGAGTGTTTCAAAACTGCTCTATCAAAAGAATGCTTCAACACTGTTAGTTGAGGGCGCACATCACAAATAAGTTTCTGAGAATGCTTCTATCTAGCTTTTATTGGAAGATATTTCCTTTTTCACTGTAGTCCTGAGAACGCTCCAAATGTCCACTTCCAGATACTACAAAAAGAGTGTTTCAAACCTGCTCTATGAAAGGGACTGTTCAACACTGTGACTTCAATTGAAACATCCCAATGAAGCTTCTGAGAATTCTTCTTTCTAGATTCTATATGAAGACAATCCCCTTTCCAACGAAATCCTCAAAGCTATCCAAATATCCTCTTGCAGATTTTACAAAAAGAGTGTTTCAAAACTGCTCTATCAAAAGAAAGGTTCAACACTGTTAGTTGAGAGCGCACATCACAAATAAGTTTCTGAGAATGCTTCTGTCTAGTTTGCAGGGGAAGATATTTCCTTTTTCACCATAGGCCTGAAAACGCTCCAAATGTCCACATCCAGATACTACAAAAAGAGTGTTTCAAACCTGCTTTATGAAAGGGAATGTTCAAGTCTGTGACTTGAATGCAAATTTCACAAAGAAGTTTCTGGGAATGCTGCTGTCTGCTTTTTATATGTAATCCCGTTTCCAACGAAATCCTCAAAGCTAGACAAATATCCACTTGCAGATTCCACAAAAATAGTGTTTCAAAACTGCTCTCAGAAAAGAAAGGTTCAACTCTGTTAGCTGAGTAGATGCATCATGAAAAAGTTTCTGACACTGCTTCTATCTAGCTTTTATTGGAAGATATTTCCTTTTTCACCGTAGTCCTGAGAGCGCTCCAAATGTCCACTTCCAGATACTACAAAAAGAGTGTTTCAAACCTGCTTTATGAAAGGGACTGTTCAACACTGTGACTTCAATTGAAACATCCCAATGAAGCTTCTGAGAATGCTTCTGTCTAGTTTCCAGGGGAAGATATTTCCTTTTTCACCATAGGCCTGAAAGCGCTCAAAATGTCCACATCCAGATAGTACAAAAAGAGTGTTTTAAACCTGCTCTATGAAAGGGAATGTTCAACTCTGTGACTTGAATGCAAACATCACAAAGAAGTTTCTGGGAATGCTGCTGTCTGCTTTTTATATGTAATCCCGTTTCCAACGAAATCCTCAAAGCTAGACAAATATCCACTTGCAGATTCCACAAAATGAGTGTTTCAAAACTGCTCTACCAAAAGAAAGCTTCAACACTGTTAGTTGAGGGCCCACATCACAAATAAGATTCTGAGAATGCTTCTGTCTAGTTTTCAGGGGAAGATATTTCCTTTTTCACCATAGGCCTGAAAGCGCTCCAAATGTCCACATCCAGATACTACAAAAAGAGTGTTTCAAACCTGCTCTATGAAAGGGACTGTTCAACACTGTGACTTCAATTGAAACATCCCAATGAAGCATCTGAGAATGCTTCTGTCTAGAGTTTATATGAAGACAATCCCGTTTCCAAAGAAATCCTCAAAACTATCCAAATATCCTCTAGCAGATTTTACAAAAAGAGTGTTTCAAAACTGCTCTATCAAAAGAAAGCTTCAACACTGTTAGTTGAGGGCGCACATCACAAATAAAATTCTGAGAATGCTTCTGTCTAGTTTTCAGGGGAAGATATTTCCTTTTTCACCATAGGCCTGAAAGCGCTCCAAATGTCCACATCCAGATACTACAAAAAGAGTGTTTCAAACCTGCTCTCTGAAAGGGAATGTTCAACTCTGTGACTTGAATGCAAACATCACAAAGAAGTTTCTGGGAATGCTGCTGTCTGCTTTTTATATGTAATCCCGTTTCCAACGAAATCCTCAAAACTAGACAAATATCCACCTGCAGATTCCACAAAAAGAGTGTTTCAAAACTGCTCTCTCAAAGGAAAGGTTCAACTCTGTTAGCTGAGTAGATACATCATGAAAAAGTTTCTGACATTGCTTCTATCTAGCTTTAATTGGAAGATATTTCCTTTTTCACCGTAGTCCTGAGAACGCTCCAAATGTCCACTTCCAGATACTACAAAAAGAGTGTTTCAAACCTGCTCTATGAAAGGGACTGTTCAACACTGTGACTTCAATTGAAACATCCCAATGAAGCTTCTGAGAATGCTTCTGTCTAGATTCTATATGAAGACAATCCCGTTTCCAACGAAATCCTCAAAGCTATCCAAATATCCTCTTGCAGATTTTACAAAAAGAGTGTTTCAAAACTGCTCTATCAAAAGAAAAGTTCCACACTGTTAGTTGAGGGCGCACATCACAAATAAGTTTGCTGAGAATGCTGCTGTCTGCTTTTTATAATTAATCCCGTTTCCAACGAAATCCTCAAAGCTAGACAAATATCCACTTGCAGATTCCACAAAAAGAGTGTTTCAAAACTGCTCTATCAAAAGAATGCTTCAACACTGTTAGTTGAGGGCGCACATCACAAATAAGTTTCTGAGAATGCTTCTGTCTAGTTTTCAGGGGAAGATATTTCCTTTTAAACCATAGGCCTGAAAGCGCTCCAAATGTCCACATCCAGATACTACAAAAAGAGTGTTTCAAACCTGCTCTATGAAAGGGACTGTTCAACACTGTGAGTTCAATTGAAACATCCCAATGAAGCTTCTGAGAATGCTTCTGTCTAGAGTTTATATGAAGACAATCCCGTTTCCAACGAAATCCTCAAAGCTATCCAAATATCCTCTTGCAGATTTTACAAAAAGAGTGTTTCAAAACTGCTCTATCAAAAGAAAGCTTCAACACTGTTAGTTGAGGGCGCACATCACAAATAAGATTCTGAGAATGCTTCTGTCTAGCTTTCAGGGGAAGATATTTCCTTTTTCACCATAGGCCTGAAAGCGCTCCAAATGTCCACATCCAGATACTACCAAAAGAGTGTTTCAAACCTGCTCTATGAAAGGGAATGTTCAAGTCTGTGACTTAAATGCAAATATCACCAAGAAGTTTCTGGGAATGCTGCTGTCTGCTTTTTATATGTAATCCCGTTTCAAACGCAATCCTCAAACCTAGACAAATATCCACTTGCAGATTCCACACAAAGAGTGTTTCAAAACTGCTCTCTCAAAAGAAAGGTTCAACTCTGTTAGCTGAGTAGATACATCATGAAAAATTTTCTGACATTGCTTCTATCTAGCTTTTATTGGAAGATATTTCCTTTTCCACTGTAGTCCTGACAACGCTCCAAATGTCCACTTCCAGATACTACAAAAAGAGTGTTTCAAACCTGCTCTATGAAAGGGACTGTTCAACACTGTGACTTCAATTGAAACATCCCAATGAAGCTTCTGAGAATGCTGCTGTCTGCTTTGTATAATTAATCCCGTTTCCAACGAAATCCTCAAAGCTATCCAAATATCCTCTTGCAGATATTACAAAAAGAGTGTTTCAAAACTGCTCTATCAAAAGAAAGCTTCAACACTGTTAGTTGAGGGCGCACATCACAAATAAGTTTCTGAGAATGCTGCTGTCTGCTTTTTATATGTAATCCCGTTTCCAACGAAATCCTCAAATCTAGCTACATATGCACTTGCAGATTCCACAAAAAGAGTGTTTCAAAACTGCTCCTTCAAAACGATTGTTGAATTCTGTTAGTTGAGTACACACATCACAAATAAGTTTCTGAGAATGCTTCTGTCTAGTTTTCAGGGGAAGATATTTCCTTTTAAACCATATGCCTGAAAGCGCTCCAAATGTCCACATCCAGATACTACAAAAAGAGTGTTTCAAACCTGCTCTATGAAAGGGACTGTTCAACACTGCAACTTCAATTGAAACATCCCAATGAAGCTTCTGAGAATGCTTCTGTCTAGAGTTTATATGAAGACAATCCCGTTTCCAACGAAATCCTCAAAGCTATCAAAATATCCTCTTGCAGATTTTACGAAAAGAGTGTTTCAAAACTGCTCTATCAAAAGAAAGCTTCAACACTGTTAGTTGAGGGCGCACATCACAAATAAGATTCTGAGAATGCTTCTGTCTAGTTTTCAGGGGAAGATATTTCCTTTTTCACCATAGGCCTGAGAGCGCTCCAAATGTCCACATCCAGATACTACAAAAAGAGTGTTTCAAACCTGCTCTATGAAAGGGAATGTTCAACTCTGTGACTTGAATGCAAACATGACAAAGAAGTTTCTGGGAATGCTGCTGTCTGCTTTTTATATGTAATCCCGTTTCCAACGAAATCCTCAAAGCTAGACAAATATCCACTTGCAGATTCCACAAAAAGAGTGTTTCAAAACTGCTCTCTCAAAAGAAAGGTTCAACTCTGTTAGCTGAGTAGATAGATCATGAAAAAGTTTCTGACATTGCTTCTATCTAGCTTTTATTGGAAGATATTTCCTTTTTCACCGCAGTCCTGAGAGCGCTCCAAATGTCCACTTCCAGATACTACAAAAAGAGTGTTTCAAACCTGCTCTATGAAAGGGACTGTTCAACACTGTGACTTCAATTGAAACATCCCAATGAAGCTTCTGAGAATGCTGCTGTCTGCTTTGTATAATTAATCCCGTTTCCAACGAAATCCTCAAAGCTATCCAAATATCCTCTTGCAGATATTACAAAAAGAGTGTTTCAAAACTGCTCTATCAAAAGAAAGCTTCAACACTGTTAGTTGAGGGCGCACATCACAAATAAGTTTCTGAGAATGCTGCTGTCTGCTTTTTATATGTAATCCCGTTTCCAACGAAATCCTCAAAGCTAGACAAATATCCACTTGCAGATTCCAGAAAAAGAGTTTTTCAAAACTGCTCTATCAAAAGAATGCTTCAACACTGTTAGTTGAGGGCGCACATCACAAATAAGTTTCTGAGAATGCTTCTGTCTAGTTTTCAGGGGAAGATATTTCCTTTTTCACCATAGGCCTGAAAGCGCTCGAAATGTCCACATCCAGATACTACAAAAAGAGTGTTTCAAACCTGCTCTATGAAAGGGACTGTTCAACACTGTGACTTCAATTGAAACATCCCAATGAAGCTTCTGAGAATGCTTCTGTCTGGAGTTTATATGAAGACAATCCCGTTTCCAACGAAATCCTCAAAGCTATCCAAATATCCTCTTGCAGATTTTACAAAAAGAGTGTTTCAGAACTGCTCTATCAAAAGAAAGCTTCAACACTGTTAGTTGAGGGCGCACATCACAAATAAGATTCTGAGAATGCTTCTGTCTAGTTTTCAGTGGAAGATATTTCCTTTTTCACCATAGGCCTGAAAGCGCTCCAAATGTCCAAATCCAGATACTACAAAAAGAGTGTTTCAAACCTGCTCTATGAAAGGGAATGTTCAACTCTGTGACTTGAATGCAAACATCACAAAGAAGTTTCTGGGAATGCTGCTGTCTGCTTTCTATATGTAATCCCGTTTCCAACGAAATCCTCAAACTAGCCAAATATCCACTTGCAGATTCCACAAAAAGAGTGTTTCAAAACTGCTCTCTCAAAAGAAAGGTTCAACTCTGTTAGCTGAGTAGATACATCATGAAAAATTTTCTGACATTGCTTCTATCTAGCTTTTATTGGAACATATTTCCTTTCTCACCGTAGTCCTGAGAGCGCTCCAAATGTCCACTTCCAGATACTACAAAAAGAGTGTTTCAAACCTGCTCTATGAAAGGGACTGTTCAACACTGTGACTTCAGTAGAATCATCCCAATGAAGCTTCTGAGAATGCTGCTGTCTGCTTTGTATAATTAATCCCGTTTCCAACGAAATCCTCAAAGCTATCCAAATATCCTCTTGCAGATATTACAAAAAGAGTGTTTCAAAACTGCTCTATCAAAAGAAAGCTTCAACACTGTTAGTTGAGGGCGCACATCACAAATAAGTTTCTGAGAATGCTGCTGTCTGCTTTTTATATGTAATCCCGTTTCCAACGAAATCCTCAAAGCTAGACAAATATCCACTTGCAGATTCCACAAAAAGAGTGTTTCAAAACTGCTCTGTCAAAAGAAAGCTTCAACACTGTTAGTTGAGGGCGCACATCACAAATAAGTTTCTGAGAATGCTTCTGTCTAGTTTTCAGGGGAAGATATTTCCTTTTAAACCATAGGCCTGAAAGCGCTCCAAATGTCCACATCCAGATACTACAAAAAGAGTGTTTCAAACCTGCTCTATGAAAGGGACTGTTCAACACTGTGACTTCAATTGAAACATCCCAATGAAGCTTCTGAGAATGCTTCTGTCTAGAGTTTATTTGAAGACAATCCCGTTTCCAACGTAATCCTCAAAGCTATCAAAATATCCTCTTGCAGATTTTACGAAAAGAGTGTTTCAAAACTGCTCTATCAAAAGAAAGCTTCAACACTGTTAGTTGAGGGCGCACATCACAAATAAGATTCTGAGAATGCTTCTGTCTAGTTTTCAGGGGAAGATATTTCCTTTTTCACCATAGGCCTGAAAGCGCTCCAAATGTCCACATCCAGATACTACAAAAAGAGTGTTTCAAACCTGCTCTATGAAAGGGAATGTTCAACTCTGTGACTTGAATGCAAACATCACAAAGAAGTTTCTGGGAATGCTGCTGTCTGCTTTTTATATGTAATCCCGTTTCCAACGAAATCCTCAAAGCTAGACAAATATCCACTTGCAGATTCCACAAAAAGAGTGTTTCAAAAGTGCTCTCTCAAAAGAAAGGTTCAACTCTGTTAGCTGAGTAGATACATCATGAAAAAGTTTCTGACATTGCTTCTATCTAGCTTTTATTGGAAGATATTTCCTTTTTCACCACAGTCCGGAGAGCGCTCCAAATGTCCACTTCCAGATACTACAAAAAGAGTGTTTCAAACCTGCTCTATGAAAGGGACTGTTCAACACTGTGACTTTAATTGAAACATCCCAATGAAGCTTCTGAGAATGCTTCTTTCTAGAGTTTATATGAAGACAATCCCGTTTCCAACGAAATCCTCAAAGCTATCCAAATATTCTCTTGCAGATATTACAAAAAGAGTGTTTCAAAACTGCTCTATCAAAATAAAGCTTCAACACTGTTAGTTGAGGGCGCACATCACAAATAAGTTTCTGAGAATGCTGCTGTCTGCTTTTTATATGTAATCCCGTTTCCAACGCAATCCTCAAAGCTAGACAAATATCCACTTGCAGATTCCACAAAAAGAGTGTTTCAAAACTGCTCTATCAAAAGAATGCTTCAACACTGTTAGTTGAGGGCGCACATCACAAATAAGTTTCTGAGAATGCTTCTGTCTAGTTTTCAGGGGAAGATATTTCCTTTTAAACCATAGGCCTGAAAGCGCTCCAAATGTCCACATCCAGATACTACAAAAAGAGTGTTTCAAACCTGCTCTATGAAAGGGACCGTTCAACACTGTGACTTCAATTGAAATATCCCAATGACGCTTCTGAGAATGCTACTGTCTAGAGTTTATATGAAGACAATCCCATTTCCACCGAAATCCTCAAAGCTATGCAAATATCCTCTTGGAGATTTTACAAAAAGAGTGTTTCAAACTGCTCTGTCAAAAGAAAGCTTCAACACTGTTAGTTGAGGGTGCACATCACAAATAAGTTTCTGAGAATGCTTCTGTCTAGTTTTCAGGGGAAGATATTTCCTTTTTCACCATAGGCCTGAAAGCGCTCCAAATGTCCACATCCAGATACTGCAAAAAGAGTGTTTCAAACCTGCTCTATGAAAGGGAATGTTCAACTCTGTGACTTGAATGCAAACATCACAAAGAAGTTACTGGGAATGCTGCTGTCTGCTTTTTATATGTAATCCCGTTTCCAACGAAATCCTCAAAGCTAGACAAATATCCACTTCCAGATTCCACAAAAAGAGTGTTTCAAAACTGCTCTCTCAAAAGAAAGGTTCAACTCTGTTAGCTGAGTAGATACATCATGAAAAAGTTTCTGACATTGCTTCTATGTAGCTTTTATTGGAAGATATTTCCTTTTTCACCATAGGCCTGAAAGCGCTCCAAATGTCCACATCCAGATACTACAAAAAAAGTGTTTCAAACCTGCTCTGTGAAAGGGAATGTTCAACTCTGTGACTTGAATGCAAACATCACAAAGAAGTTACTGGGAATGCTGCTGTCTGCTTTTTATATGTAATCCCGTTTCCAACGAAATCCTCAAAGCTAGACAAATATCCACTTGCAGATTCCACAAAAAGAGTGTTTCAAAACTGCTCTCTCAAAAGAAAGGTTCAACTCTGTTAGCTGCGTAGATACATCATGAAAAAGTTTCTGACATTGCTGCTGTCTGCTTTTTATATGTAATCCCGTTTCCAACGAAATCCTCAAAGCTAGACAAATATCCACTTGCAGATTCCACAAAAAGAGTGTTTCAAAACTGCTCTATCAAAAGAAAGCTTCAACACTGTTAGTTGAGGGCGCACATCACAAATAAGTTTCTGAGAATGCTTCTGTCTACTTTTCAGGGGAAGATATTTCCTTTCTCACCATAGTCCTGAAAGCGCTCCAAATGTCCACATCCAGATACTACAAAAAGAGTGTTTCACACCTGCTCTATGAAAGGGACTGTTCAACACTGTGACTTCAATTGAAACATCCCAATGAAGCTTCTGAGAATGCTTCTGTCTAGAGTTTATATGAAGACAATCCCGTTTCCAACGAAATCCTCAAAGCTATCCAAATATCCTCTTGCAGATTTTACAAAAAGAGTGTTTCAAAACTGCTCTATCAAAAGAAAGCTTCAACTCTGTTAGTTGAGGGCGCACATCACAAATAAGATTCTGAGAATGCTTCTGTCTAGTTTTCAGGGGAAGATATTTCCTTTTTCACCATAGGCCTGAAAGCGCTCCAAATGTCCACATCCAGATACTACAAAAAGAGTGTTTCAAACCTGCTACTATGAAAGGGAATGTTCAACTCTGTGACTTGAATGCAAACATCACAAAGAAGTTTCTGGGAATGCTGCTGTCTGCTTTTTATATGTAATCCCGTTTCCAACGAAATCCTCAAAGGTAGACAAATATCCACTTGCAGATTCCACAAAAACAGTGTTTCAAAACTGCTCTCTCAAAAGAAAGGTTCAACTCTGTTAGCTGAGTAGATACATCATGAAAAAGTTTCTGACTTTTCTTCTATCTAGCTTTTATTGGAAGATATTTCTTTTTCACCGTAGTCCTGAGAGCGCTCCAAATGTCCACTTCCAGATACTACAAAAAGAGTGTTTCAAACCTGCTCTATGACAGGGACTGTTCAACACTGTGACTTAAATTTAAACATCCCAATATAGTTTCTGAGAATGCTTCTGTCTAGAGTTTAAATGAAGACAATCCCGTTTCCAACGAAATCCTCAAAGCTATCCAAATATCCTCTTGCAGATTTTACAAAAAGAGTGTTTCAAAACTGCTCTATGAAAAGAAAGGTTCAACACTGTTAGTTGAGGGCGCACATCACAAATAAGTTTCTGAGAATGATTCTGTCTAGTTTTCAGGGGAAGTTATTTCCTTTTTCACCATAGGCCTGAAAGCGCTCCAAATGTCCACATCCAGATACTACAAAAAGAGTGTTTCAAACCTGCTCTATGAAAGGGAATGTTCAACTCTGTGACTTGAATGCAAACATCACAAAGAAGTTTCTGGGAATGCTGCTGTCTGCTTTTTATATGTAATCCCGTTTCCAACGAAATCCTCAATGCTAGACAAATATCCACTTGCAGATTCCACAAAAAGAGTGTTTCAAAACTGCTCTCTCAAAAGAAAGGTTCAACTCTGTTAGCTGAGTAGATACATCATGAAAAAGTTTCTGACATTGCTTCTATCTAGCTTTTATTGGAAGATATTTCCTTTATCACCGTATTCCTGAGATCTCTCCAAATGTCCACTTCCAGATACTACAAAAAGAGTGTTTCAAACCTGCTCTATGAAAGGGACTGTTCAACACTGTGACTTCAATTGAAACATCCCAATGAAGCTTCTGAGAATGCTTCTGTCTAGAGTTTATATGAAGACAATCCCGTTTCCAACGAAATCCTCAAAGCTATCCAAATATCCTCTTACAGATTTTACAAAAAGAGTGTTTCAAAACTGCTCTATCAAAAGAAAGGTTCAACACTGTTAGTTGAGGGCGCACATCACAAATAAGTTTCTGAGAATGCTTCTGTCT